>NC_000001.11:57735653-57887168 GCF_000001405.40 Homo sapiens
TAAAGTCACTCTAGAGAATAAAACAATTTCCTGGTATAGTTGAAAAAAATTCATTCAGTCTTTTGTCTTGACTTTTGTTCACAAAATCCACTTCTAGATTCATTTTTTGGCCAGTTGTTTAGAATGTTAAATATCCACAAACATACTCATAATTCTTCCTCCCATCAGAAAAAATGTGGCTTCTTAATCAGTAAATCCAGTCTACTTTAAAGGCATTGTCTGGGCCCGGGATTAATGCACTTCTAGAGAATAAAATCAATGGGATGTAAAGAAATGATAGCCTTTTTGGTTCTTAAATAAACATTTCTCAGAGGGACCTTCCAAGTCCTCAAGGAATTTCATGGAGACACATTCAAATGCCACCCATCTGTACAGATATCAATATCTAAGTTTAAAAAAAAGAACTACATTTTCATAGTTGGCTATCAGAAAAGCACATTAATGCCTCCCCGTACGGACGGCTATATACTGTCTTGTAAAAATGGTTCTTGGGCTACATAGGAAGACTGAGATGAAAGGAACCACATAGAACTGATATATTTTTCAGCATTGTTATCATTTTTCTTCTTCCCTCCCAAGATAAAGTTAAGATTGGTGTTCAGGGAAGCCAGAGAACGGTGGGGAAACACAAAGAGGCAGAACCCAGTGAGGATGCTAGGACCCCAAAGCAAACTCCCATTATGGTTGAAGCCATTGTGAACAGAAAGACATTTCTCTAAGGTAGTTTTGACTTCGTGCATATCTGGCTCATTGTCAGGAAGGAGACACCGAATGTTCATAAATCGCAGCATATGAGAGGAAAATTGATTGGATTTGGAATCAGAATTTCCAGACTAAGTCTAGGCTCAGGTACTTCACCAAAATACATTTGAATTTGGACAAATTATTTCACCCCTTTGAGGATCAGTTTTGTGAACTGTAAAGTGTGAATAATAATACATATGTTGAAAGAACATGTGATAGAGCTTTTACGACCTGCATTATTATTATTTTTAAGGAAACAGTGATTAGTCCAGGTGAAATAAGGTGGACTGGTATTCTAAATGCATTTAATAGAGGCCATTAATTCTCCCCTCCCTGCCTCTCCATCCTTCCCTCCCTCTCTCACTCTTTCCATCTCCCTGCCTTCCTTCTTTCTTTTCTCTAACATATATTTATTAAGTGCTTACCTCGTGCAAACAACACTGCTAGAATCAGTTGTGTCAGTCAATATCCCAGCCTGAAACAGGTGGTTCATTCAAACTGAGAGTAGTTTAAGGAAGAGACAACCTAGGTGTGGACAGGCAAAGGGAAACCTAAAAAGGATAGGGAAGAGCTCCAGCAATAACAAGAGCTGGGAGCCCTGTCCACCTTTAAGCCTGAGGAAGGAAATGGGAGGCGGGTTTTCCGAGCCAGGATAGAGCTGCAGCTGCAGCTGTAGCTACCGGAGAGGGCTTCTCAACAGGAGCTGTGGCTTCCGGTGGAGGCATCTGTGGCCTTGGCAGAAAGGGAGTCAAGAGGCTAACCACCCAACCCACCTTTCTTCCATCTGACTTCCTGTTGGTGCCTCTCATTGGCCAAACTCAGGCAGAAGTCAAAAGACAATGGTGCTTGTTGAGGCAGTGCACTTAACTCCGTGGCATAGAACCATGTGGTCAGGGTGTAGAATGGATCTGAACAGGCAAGCATAGGCTACTCACCACCGGAATATCATGTCACAGTTTACAACATGAGTTCTAGAGCCACTGGGCTGCATTTGAATCCTTACTCTACCACTATGGTGCCTTGGATCTTGAAGCACTTACCCTTTGCACGTCTCAGTTTCCTCATCTGTTAAATGGTGGTGGTAAAGGTATCTACCCATAGATTATTGTGAGGGTTAAATGAGTTAAAATTCATAAACCACTTAGGAAAATGACGGGCACGTACTAAGTGCTGTGTTAAGCATCACCTCGTATTATTCTTCATGGGATACAATAGTGAGCAGGAACAATGAGTGAGTGGAAGGCTTCCTGGAGTGTCTTTAATGGCAACCCACACTGGACCATCCCCTTGATGCTTTTTTAATTCTTGCTTTCTGACATGATTCTGTGACACAACCATTTTGAGAAGGGGAGATAAATGGGGGAAGAGTAGCAGGGAAGAGTATGGTCATTTCACTTTATTATACCCTCACACAATCCTTTTGTAATTCTTGTCTTCAGAATATCAGGACCTATGACCCACGTTTCTGTCAATTACAAACATCTGCCCCCCTCTGCCTCAATCTCTGATGACTGGAACTAGGGCAAAGCAGCAGGTCACTCTAAAAAACTGGCTGAAAGTCCTGCTCAATCCAAGGTCCCAAGTTCTGCTGTGGAATATCATGGGTTCTTAGCCAGAGGCTGCTTTTTCTGATTACCTCACCTCCTTGCCTTGGGAAGAGACACATCAATAACTGAGGAGTCTGGGAAAGGGGCCCAGGACTAGAAGCCTGAACTGTGTTTAAATCCTGGCCCTATCCTATTTTAGCTATGCGACCTTCACCAAATAAATGACAGTTCCTTTCTTAACTGTAGGTTTCTTAGGTAGAAAACAGAGACTTGAGTATTACAGACTCTTTTGAAGGTAGGAAGTAATAAAAAGTCAAAGCTAGTAATAATTGAAAACTGTGCAAACCTATGCTATAGTTTAAATTATAAGTCAATTCATGTTGCTGGTCTCCAGTTTCCCCATTTGCAAAATATCTAGCTGATTTATAGCGAGATATAGGTGGATGTGACAGCACTTTGTAACATATAATTATTAACACCATGATCTAATCTCAAATACTAATCACACTAATTGGGAGCCAGTGTCATCTCTCCCCCACCCACAACCCCACACATACCCCCAACCCCACACCCTACAGCCAACAACCTATTTCTTGTTGTGTAATATATTTTGTGTGTAAGTCTATCAGTCCAAACAGTGGGGTGAGTGTCAGGAATTGATATCTTTGCTCCTGTACTGTTAGTGCACACCCTGGCAGCACTGAGTGCATTTCTTTGATTATTTATACTTAAGAAACTCCATGTAATTGTTCAAGTTCAAAATTTGCATACTGCCAGACAGCTCGTTGAATTATTTATTTTAACTGCCTTATTTCTGTTTTGGGTAATTTCTTCCATGTGCTTCCACTATATCAATAACGGGAGGCAATTATTGATTTTTCCAAAGCCATTAGGTTCAAGGAATTGTTCAATTAGTTTTACGATTTCAAATAGAGGAAGATGCAAGATTGCCACACTTCGAGGTTGGAAACAACTTTCTAAAAGGAGGAGAATGCCCTAAATGGTAAAGTGCACAGGTAAATGGTAGAGGCAGACCCTAAATCACTTATGCACATCACAGCCTGCATCATCACCTTTCAGGTTTTATAGCGCTGTCTCCTGAGCAGGATGGCTAGGGGGCTGTCAGCTAATACATATTTGTGATATTGTTTACCCATTGATCTTGTCAAGCTATTGTAAATCCAGATGGATAATAAACACACAATGACTTTAAAGGATAAATATTAATAGATAGTCATCCACCTCTGGTCCTAAATCTCTGTGGGCTCTCCATTTTCTACTGAATAAAGTTCAGAATTCCAGGCAGACAAGTTCAGAACAATACCTGTGTGAACCTGACTTCACACCTTTGCTCATCTGAAGTGCTCTCACATTTCTTTCTGTTACTATCTTTCTCACATATTGAGGAGTCAGGGAAGAATAACACTCAGCTTCCTGAACCTCAGGTCGTCTATGCACCAACTTCTCATATCCATAATCCAACTCCCCTCCCCTCCCCTCCCCTCCCCTCCCCTTCCCTCCCCTCCCCTCCCCTCCCCTCGCCCCAGGCTGGAGTGCAATGATGCAATCTCAACTCACTGCAACCTCCCCCTCCCAGGTTCAAGCGATTCTCCTGCCTCAGCCTCCCAAACAGCTCAGCTGGGACTACAGGCATGTGCCACCATGCCCGGCTAATTTTCTGTATTTTTAGTAGAGACAGGGTTTCGCCATGTTGGCCAGGCTGGTCTCAAACTCCTGATCTCAAACAATCTGCCTGCCTCGGCCTCCCAAAGTGCTGGGATTATAGAGGTGAGCCACCACACCCACCTACTTAACAGTTTTTCAAATGACACAATCTAACACTTAAATCTACTCCAGCCTCCTCATCCTAAGAATTTTCATCAGTAAAATCATGGGTTTAAGAATCTAGTCAAATTTTTTGTAGCATGCATTATAACAAATATACAAGTATTAAAATAATATATCTTCAGCCAGGCGTGGTCGCTCATGTCTGTAATCCTAGCACCTTGGGAGGCCAAGGCAGGTGGATCACTTGAGGCTGGGAGTCCAAGACCAGCTTGGCCAACATAGCAAAAACCCATCTCTACTACTACTACTACTACAAAAAAAAAAAAAAAAAATTCGCCAGGCGTGGTCGCATGCACTTGTAGTCCCAGCTACTCAGGAGGCTGAGGCATGAAAATTGCTTGAACCTGGGAGGCAGAGGTTGCAATGAGCCGAGATTATGCCACTGTACTCCAGCCTGGGTGGCAGAGCAAGATTCTGTCTCAAAAATAATAATATTTTAAAAATCATCCATAAGCCACATAAAAATAATCTCATATGGCACTAGGAATGCCCACATAACACTTTTGGAAATATTGGGGTAGTAGACAAGGTTTCAGGCTCTGGTGATAACAGGCTTGGATTTAAACTCTGGTTTCTTACTTACTATCCATGTGTTCTTGGGCAAGGTACATAAAGATACTAGACCTCAGTACTAGAATACAGCCCACATCCGAGTATTGTACTGAAAATTAAATAAAATAATACATGTAAAGTGCCTAGCACTTGGCAAACATTAAAGTGTCCAGTTCAGTGAACACTTATGTGGAAGTATTACATAATGGTTAGGAGCAAGGGTTTCCCTAAGTGCTAGGGTTCAAATCCTGGCTGTTGAGTAATCTTGGGCAAATCCCTAAACTGCTTCGTGTTTCAGCATCCTCACAGATTTGTGGGGAGGTTAAGTAAATGTATGTAAATATAGAACTTAGAAGAGTGCCTCTACACAGTTCACACATCATAGATGTCGGCGATTCTGATTGTCTGCTGTCTTCCACGCACTGGGCTGTGTGTTAGTGAAATAAAAAACTGGCAGAGAAGTAAGAAATCTCCCCTTTTGTGTGGATTTTATGTGCAAATGTGTCAGTATAGACAAAGTACAGAAATTAAATGGTGGAGAAAATGGTTAACGACGTATTGGGCAGAAAGGAGGGAGTAAAGGAGGGCTTCATGGAGGAGGGGACACTTAAGCTTGGTTTTAAAGATTGAGGTGGGGTGTTGAAGGATGAAACTGATTCATTAAGACCAATTTGGTTGACACTTCCTCTGGAAAGCCTTCTCTGATCCCATAGGCACAGTTAACGACTACATCTTATTGTTTGAGGGGTAGAGATGAGCGTTAGACATTAAATTTTAAGTGCTGAGGGACTAGGTCATGCTGAGTGCTCCTTGGCAAATGTCTACAGAAGGTATAAAGTCACTTCTTGCCTACTTCATTTCCTTATTCATAAAATAAATCTTCTGTTTCCTCTCTACTATTCCATCATTCCACAAATATCAATTATTAATATTAACAATAATAAAAAATAAAATGTATTGAATGTTTCTTATATGCCATGAACTTAATGGATTTCATTTTATCCTCACAATAATCCTGCGGTAGGTACTATTGTTATTCCCATTTGATAGACCAACAAATTGAGGCTTAGAAACCTTGGGAAACTCTTCCAAAAGCAACCATTAGCTTAAAACGTAGCCTACCTGTTCCAAGAATATGTACACAGCCACTATACCATACTGCCTCTCAAAGTGTCTAGATTTAAATTCTGTTCCATGAGGAAGTGATGTCAGTTTCCCAGTTGGGACCATTTACTGAATAATGCTCAGCCATTTCTCAGAGAAGTAGGTGAAGGGAGTGAAAGCAGACTGCTTCTGGGACTTGCCAAACGTTAGGTCTATGGAAATCTGCGTAGTATGCAAATAGTTTGCAGCAAAGAAGACAGAGCTCTCAGAATGAATCATTCTTGCTTCCACTGCCGAGTGAGAAATACTGTAGTGATGTTTCAGTCTTGCACGAGCTCAGCTGGACAAGGTTAATTAGGACTGGAGAGACCCAGGACCTCAGTTGAACTCCTTGGTAATCAGAGAATTATGATGAAGTTAATATACAAGTATAACCTGTAATAAGATGAGGTAAAGGCAAATAGATTGTAATCACTGTAAACTTTCCCTTGTTACAGTTTTCGAGTGCTATGTATTGGATCTCCACAGGAGCACTAATCCTCTAAGAGGCCCATGGGGGTGGAGGTTCAACCACCTGGAGCAGGTTGAAAGTGGGAAATAAAAAGTAGGGTAATAAAATATTTCAGAATATAGTAAATAGTGTTCATTTAAGTTGCCTTATATGACCCTTAGATGATAGCCACTTGGAATACAAGGATTTTTTTTGGGCTCCTCAGCCCACTAATGCATTTCTCAGACTCAGAACATTAGCCTAGGAAAGGCCTTGGAGATGTGTCTTCTCTCACTCTCTTATTTTACAGATGGAGAAACCAAGGCGCAGGCAGCAGCAGATGATGGACCATAAAATAAAAATATAAAAGTAGATTTCATGGTGTTTCAAAAACAATGTTAATAATGAATTTAAGGAAAAATAGTTTTCTATCAAAATGTGGGATCAAAAGGATGGGGGATGGAGAAAAACCAGCAAAGTCACCCTGACCCTGGCTGGTGTCAGTGAGATATAATGGGGAGGGACCATCCTGCTGTGTTGAGCCCCAAACCACTCTCTTTATGATAGTGACATGATAAAGGAGGGCAGGAGGCCTGTAGGAGTGCCCCAAGCTAGGAACCTGGTTCTGTGTAAAAATACAAATATGGGCCTACAGACGGGAAATTTCTGGGCTCTCCACAGGCCTGTTGCTCCTCCCCTAGCACAGACAAGGACAATGATTATCCATTTGATGTGTTACCCATCACAAAAGGAAAAGGACAGGGCTGTCTGGGAATATGCCTGGGAACAACTGAATCTGGAGTTGGGAGGGCAGGAATGATGAGGAATGATGCAAAGGCTGACATCTGAAGGAGTGGTGGGATTTAGAAGCCAGGGCAACCCAGGATGGTATCTGGGCAGTGAGAAGCACCAGTGTGAAGGTGTGGAAGTGCAAAATCAAGACTGTCTGGCAAGAAGGTCCTGAGACCAAGCTGAGAGTTAATACCCAAAGTATGCCATACCCATGCCTTTGTATTGTGTGCCGCTGTATACACAGGGAGGTGTGTATGCAATTATTGATGTAGACATCGGTTATTGGTGATGTAGAAACAACTCATGCCATGTCATAGACTCTTTGTTCACAACTGCTCCTTTATTGTCCCTAGGCTGTCCTGAGTTCAAAGAGCAGCAAGGGTGTCATTCAGAAAGGGTACTGTCAGGCCTCTGAGCCCAAGCCAAGCCATCGCATCCCCTATGACTTGCACGTATACATCCAGATGGCCTGAAGTAACTGAAGATCCACAAAAGAAGTAAAAATAGCCTTAACTGATGACATTCCACCATCGTGATTTGTTTCTGCCCCACCCTAACTGATCAATGTACTTTGTAATCTCCCCCACCCTTAAGAAGGTTCTTTGTAATTCTCCCCACCCTTGAGAATGTACTTTGTGAGATCCACCCCTGCCTGCAAAACATTGCTCTTAACTTCACCACCTATCCCCAAACCTATAAGAACTAATGATAATCCATCACCCTTTGCTGACTCTCTTTTCGGACTCAGCTCGCCTGCACCCAGGTGAAATAAACAGCCATGTTGCTCACAGAAAGCCTGTTTGGTGGTCTCTCCACACGGATGCGCGTGAAAGGTACCTTGACCGAGGTCATCCAGGGGCCAGCCCTGGGTACTTTCCAGGTATCACCCATGGAGAACGTGTTTGAGCAGGGCCTACAGGTGTGTGCCGAGCTTCACCTGACTCTGCCGAGAGCAGCTCGGTCCAGGAGACCCTAACCCAGCGGCGCTAGAGGAATTAAAGACACACACACAGAAATATAGAGGTGTGAAGTGGGAAATCAGGGGTCTCACAGCCTTCAGAGCTGAGAGCCCCTAACAGAGATTTGCCCACATATTTATTAACAGCAAAGCAGTCATTAGCATTGTTTCTATAGATATTAAATTAACTAAAAATATCCCTTATGGGAAATGAAGGGATGGGCTGAATTAATTGCAGCAGGAACACTTTCTTAAGACACAGATCCCTCATGCATTTGTTTGTGGCTTAAGAATGCCTTTAAGCAGTTTTCCGCCCTGGGCGGGCCAGGTGTTCCTTGCCCTCATTCTCGTAAACCCACAACCTTCCAGCTTGGGCATTAGGGCCATTATGGATACGTCACAGTGCTGCAGAGATTTTGTTTATGGCCAGTTTTGGGGCCAGTTTATGGCAGGATTTTGGGGGGCTTGCTCCCAACATGACTCTGAGAAGCAGGTGAAACCACTGGGCAACTTCGGAAGGCTGTTGGCATCCATTAGAATGATAATTGGTGAACAGGCTGTCAGGATGCAGGTTTAGCCTAAAGATACCTCTGGTGAGCAGAGAACCACGTAGTAGTTATGTAGTGTTATGTAGTGTTGTGTAACTTCTCAGAGTCTCCTCTGAAAGATGCAGATTTTAGGAATTTTTCTTTTTATCTCACAGGGCTTCCTTGAGGGTCAAGAGAAACCATTTGAGTGAAACTCTGTCTCAAAAAAAAAAAAAAGCTCAACAATGACTTTGTTATTGGACATATTTTATTCATTTAGTCTCCTTAATATATCGGCAAACGAAGAACTGGCACCATTCTAAGTACTTGTAATTTAAGGATCAGAGAAGTTATTTTGGCTGAAGTCACCGAGGAAGTGGAAAGAAAACTATGATATTGGGGGTCTGGATTCCGATGTCTTTTGTTCCTCGGCATCTTGCTCCTTGGGCTGTCCACATGAGCAAGTGTCCTCTGAACAAAGAAGATTCGATGAGGTACTCACAGACCTGCCAAGTAGCCATTCTCCACTGGCAGGTGTGAGGCGTGTTCTCCATTTAAGCACATACATCCTCAGCACAGAAACTATGGCCGAGGACATGGTTCCTGTCCAGTAGGAACAAAAGCTAAATGGGAGGCAGGCCGGCTGTCCAAAGACTATTAGTTCCACCTGCAATTTTCTTTCTCAGTTTCAAGGACAAAAAACACAGTTTGGAAAACTGTGTTTTTCACAGAACCCTGTACATTTCTAAGGAGCACTAGTCTCACATTTCTTAAATGATCCAATGTCTATTTTAGCAATATGAATCTCATGTCAGAAAATCTGAGTCTGAGAATGAACTCTGCCATTTAGTAATTGGTAATGACCTTGGGCAAATTACTGAATGTCAATATAATTATTTATAGATTAGGGATAGTAATATCTGCTTCTGGTGTTTTGTGGGAAATATTTACCAAAGTAAACTCGTGGCAGGGAGATTTGGAGGTAAGGGAATGTATCCAGTAAAGTGTGGCGTTGGTGCTCTACTTCCCGGGAAGTTGTTTATCTGTGTCCCTTCCATCTAGCATGGTGACCTCAACAGGGGTAGGGCTCACCAATGTTTGTTGAAACTTTAATTAGATGAGTTTAAATACACAAAAGTGAAATTTTCTTAATTTCACTTAATTTGCTTAATATTTTATATTTGATTTTTAGCAAACAATTATACTACTCATTTCTGTGAGGATTGTTAAGTCTATATCCAGAGATCACTTGGATTGTTCTGTTACTTTTCTTTACAGTGAGCTGGAATTGAATTATACTACAGCCATTCCAGGGAAAAAACCCTAGGCAACTGACCTACCTCCCCACCTTCACTCATCAACCAGATATGACTTTTAAAGGAGCTCTTTTTCTCTTGGGATTATATTTAAGTTTTTGAGACATTTATAAAAATTACCAAAAATGCAATGAATTATAAAATAAACATTCCCGAATCAACTGCCAGTAAGTGATAATTTCTAAGATTTTTGTCACAGTTGTTTTAAATCTTTTTCAAATAAACACATCAAACATTTCAAACTTTAAAGTCCCCTCTGATTGTCACTGCCAGTTCCATCTCTTCTTCCCTCTCCAGTGGCCACTACTTTCATGAATTAAGTGGATATCTTTAATAGTCTATTATTTATACATTTTATGTACGAACAACATAAGTTGTTGATTTATCTTTATGAGTGGCTTAAAGAAGATTTTCATGAACAGTATTATACTGTACATACACTACATATCATTGTGCACATTTTAAAATTCAACTTACATGTTTCAGATCTCACCATTAGTCTATTCTTTTTAACTGTCTCATTATGTAAACACTTTAGCGATCCTTTCCCCAATTGATGAACATACAGGTGGTTTAAATGTTTTAAATTATAAATAGGACTGCAATAAATTTTCTGGTCCATGTCTTTCCATGCACATGTCCATAATATTCTCTACTGTATACGTGTGTGTAAGTATAAATAGGTATATATCTGTATGTGTGTATTTTCAGAATTACTAGGTCATAGGAATGCATATCCTCAGAGAGCCAAATTGCTCTTTAAGGGTATATTATCAATGTATATTTCTTCATTTTTTTTCTGGATATGATGAGTCCCATTTATTTCTTCACCAACACTTGATCTTGTCACACCTTTAAATACTCACTAATCTGATGGATGAGAAATTGTATTTTTTGTTATTATTTCAATTTGAATTCCCCAGATTATTAAGGTTGAGAGTATGTTTATCTGCACTTAAGATTTCCCTTATGTGAATTGCCTGTACATTTCCTTTACCCATTTTTTAAATATAGTTCTCCCTTGGTGTCTGCAGGAGATTGGTTCCAGGACCCCCTAGAAACCCCCAAATCTGCAAATGCTCAAATCCTTTATATAAAATGGCAGAGTACTTGCATAAAAACTATGGATATCCTTCCGTATACTTTAAATTATCTCTAGATTACTTATAAGATCTAATACAATGTAAATGCTATGTAAATGGTTGTTATATTGTATCATTTTTATTTCTATTATTTTGTATTGTTATATTGTTATTCCTTCCCCTTCATATTTTCAATCTGTGATTGGTTGAACCCATGATGTGGAAGTCATGGATATGGAGGGCTAAGAATACCATTTTTTTTTTGTCTTTTACGTACTGATTTAATGTTTCTCTGTGTATTCTAGATATTTGCCCTGTGTTATATATGATGAAAATATTTTCAAGTGGGTGACCACATAACCAACATCTCTTATTATACGTTGGCTTTTTGTGTTTTTCTTTTTTGGTATACATTCATTTTCTATTTTGAAGTAGTAAAATTTACCAGTCTTATCCTTTATATGTTATGCTTTTTTGTCATATTTATGAATTTCTCCATGACCCATTTGAAGACCATTTAGATAGTCTCATATGAGTTTAATGATTTTAAGGTTTGGTTTTTGACATTTAAGTTCTCCCAAAGTTCTAAACCATACATATTCGCCCCTTCTTGCCCTTGCCTTCCTCACTCAAAAATGTTTTATGTGCTTGCCCCAACCTTGGAAGAGTAGGGTTGTCCTTCTCCTTCCTGTCCTCTTTGTACCCTTATCCATAACTTTCTTGCATGTATTTTATTCTACCTGAGGGGTACTTAGGACAAAGCTTTTGTCTTAATTCACACATTTGTCTTCAGCTACTAATGTAGTATTTGGAACAGAATAGACACTTGAGAGAGAGGAGAAAGAAGTGTATCAGCACAGTCTTGGGCTGCAATGATGGGAATAGAGAGTTAAATTAGTAAGAATACCATTGTAGGCCAGGCACGGTGGCTCACGCCTGTAATCCCAGCACTTTGGGAGGCCGAGGCGGGTGGATCACAAGGTCAGGAGATCAAGACCATCCTGGCTAACACAGTGAAACCCTGTCTCTACTAAAAATACAAAAAATTAGCCGGGATTGGTGGAAGGGGCCTGCAGTCCCAGTTACTTGGGAGGGTGAGGCAGGAGAATGGCGTGAATCTGGGAGGCTGAGCTTGCAGTGAGCCAATATCGCGTCACTGCACTCCAGCCTGGGCGACAGAGGAGGACTCTGTCCAAAAAAAAAAAAAAAAAAAAAAAAAAGAATACCATTGTATTCTGAGCTAGGCCAACTGGCACTGAAATATCCATGCTTAAAGGGACAGAAAAAATAGAGTGTCGCTGGAAGGCTGAGCAGGAAGTTTAAAGACTTGGAAAGTCTGCTATAGAAGGAAAGAGGAAGGACTTGGTAAAGCATGGTCTAGAGTCTTGATCATTATTGTTGACTCAACAAAAATCTATCACATGCCTACTACTTGCCAGGCACTGCTCAAGGCAATTTACAGAGATTTTACTCCTAAGACACTTGAGAAGAGGCATAACCCTCATTAAAATGTCTAGGATACAGAGTGGCTTACCAAAGCTCACTCTGCAAAGAAGTGGTAGATGTAAAATATGTCCTCTGGGCAACATCAAAGACCTTGCCCCAATACTAAACTTTGGTGCAGGTACAGGTGTGATTCATTTATTCTGCCATAGAGAGGCAGAATATTGCAGTCCTTAAGCCCATGAGGCCAGACTGCCTGAACTTCCTTCCTGACTCTCCCACTTGGGAGCATGAGATCTTGGTCATGCCATTTAATTGCTCTGTGCCTCAAGTTTTCTCATTCTTAAAATGAGAATGCGATTATTACATGCCTTATAGAGTGTTTGTGCATGTTAAATAAATAAATGTATGTTAAAAATCTAAAACATTCTTGGCACATGTGTTATATAAATTCTCTATTATGCTTATTTAATTGGATATCACTAGTGTTGTCACAAAACTTATTCTCAGTATTGCTGGAAGGTAGAGCCAAGGCAATGGGCAGAAGTTACTGAAATTTAGATTTAAATTTGATACAAGGAGACATTTCAAATAACTAGAGTGGTCAGGGCAGCTTCCCAGAATAGTGAGCCCCTACCACCTTAGGGAGAGGTTTCAGCTGCATTTAAAGGACTACTGTGTGGAAGGTTAGACTAGGTGGCTTCTTCTGAGAATCTTTAGAGTAGGATTCTTTGAGTCTATAGCAATATCCACCCATGTTCCAGGCCAGTGACATCATTTGGCATGCTAATGAATGGAAATCTTTTCATGCAGGCTGGCCAATTCAAGCCATGCGTACGATGAAAAGGGCAAATCTTTTCATGTGAAATTGTGCATGAATAGAGACTCATTGCCCACATAAAATGCATTTTTGGGAAATGGCTTTCAGCAAAGCTGAGTGAGAACACACTGGGAGCTCTTGTGATTCAATTATTTGCAGGAGGAACTCAGGATGATGTTGGAGAAGCCATTGGTCTTGTTATGGACTGAATATTCTCTGGAATCAGATGTGTACATGACTAAAAACACCATGGTCACCCTACGGGATGGAGTGGAAGTGAGGGGAGGGAATTATATTGACAGTGTATCTATTCTGCATAAGGCAGTTAGCTTGGCACTTGATATCCTGTCTTATCCACTACCCGACAGCCAGTGAAACTAAGGCTCAGAGTGGTTAAGAGACAGTGCTCAGAGTCACACAGCTAGAAGTCCTGAAGCCAGGATTTCAACTGTTTCTTACTGTAGACTAGTAGTCAGAAGCCAGTGCCCTACAAGTCATTACCAGTCTGTAAGAATGTGAAAAGGAATTGAATTAATTGATAACATTTTAAATTCATGGTATTTCATAAAAGACATATCTAGATTTCCAGGTTCTTTTGAAGAGTTGGAAGCCTTGGCAACACCAGGTCCACAGTTGGGGATGGTGACAATGAGGTGGAACGGAGTAGCCATTGCCCCCAGTAAGCCGCAGGGCATG
This sequence comes from Homo sapiens, assembly GCF_000001405.40. NCBI lineage: Eukaryota > Metazoa > Chordata > Mammalia > Primates > Hominidae > Homo > Homo sapiens. The sequence continues at coordinate 57,749,573 of NC_000001.11, forward strand.
TGCTTTCCAGTTGTCCACAGTCCTCTCCACTCCCTGTAGTGTTACATCTTAATTTTAGTGGCCCCTTAATCCATGTGGCAATTTGAGTGATGATCCCCATTCTATGTACTATGCTATAAAAACATAGGGCAGGAGATGGAAGAGGATGGGAGAAAGTAGAACAGAGAAAGGGAGAATAGAAGGAAATGAAATGGAAAGGAAAGAGGAAGATGAAAAAATCCAAAGCCAAGAAGTGGACTTGAGATGCTACAACCAAAAAACATTATCCTGCCTCTGCATTCTGCTCAGTTGACCAGCAGAGCTTTTCAATTTTGCAAATGCCAGTAGCTCAGTTCTCATCTTGTTCTGGATGCTTTTATTTTAGGAAACATTGCAAATCCATCCTGGTGAAAAAAATCAATACACATGATATTTCAAATAGTTTTTTGGTCAAGCAGAGGGCTTTGGGGGTAAGGAAAATAAGGATGGAATGTCTCATTGGTGCACTGAGCAAGCCCTGTGCTGCCTACAGTCAAGGCCCCACCTGATTCTTTCTCTCCTTTGTTGCTGGGCCATCCTATTTACCTGGAAATGGATCTTTTCCTGGGATATTCAAAAGCTCTCAATTAACACATATTTAGTATTGATCACCTTGAAGATGCCATCTCTCCTTCCCTTTTTGTGTTTCTATCACATTCCTTTCATATCCAGGCTCTCAAAAATGTCCTCTCTCCTGCTTTATTTCTAACCATTCAGTATGTGTTCTCTCAAAGAGCAGGAAAGACCCCATCAGTGAGCTTTGTTACAGACATTTTGATGCTATACTTCTGATTTCTAACACTGCCTTTGTGACACAGATCACAGACCTTTCATTTTTCTCCTACCTACCTGAGTGGCCCTCGGTTAGTCAGTGAACCTTTCTGAAACTCAGGTCTCTTCTCCAGATAAATCCTACTTCACACTATTGTAATAAACATTCAATGAAATAATAAATGTTAAAAGGTCTATCCCAGTCCCTAGATTGCATATTTAATAAATAGTAGTTGAAATGAAATCTCTACCCATAACTACCAATGGAACTCTTGGCAAGTCTGTTAACTTCTGTGGGCTTCTCTTTCTTGACCTGGGAAACAGAAGGGGCTAAACTAGATCTCTCAGATGTCTTAAAGCCAGATGTTCTGTTTGCCGGGCTGCAGGCATCCTCAAGTTGCCTCTCTTACCCGCTGTGAGAGGCTTGAAGGTAGAGGTCATATCCCTTTATCTTTGTATCTGTACCGCCTGACATGACACTGCAGCTCAATAAAATATTGGATTCTATCACTGATGCAGCAGTTCTAGCCACACGAACTCCTCTCATTTACTGATGTCAGAAGTCTCAGGACTCTAGGGCTGCTTTTAACATTTTGATCATATTTCTATTCCCACCCCAGTCTCCTCCTGGGGGATACTGTTTCCTCCAAACTGCTGCTTTGGGGCAGCCACCAAAGGTGGCCAATTGAGGCTTACTGCTCAGCCTCAGCTGATTGGATACTGCTGAGCACCTGGTCCTATGGTACACAATCCAAAGGTTGATCAGACCGACTGACTACCTGGGAGGTGGCCTAGTGGGAGGAGGTGAAGGGGAAGAATAGGAGAGCACCACAGAGAAAATGTGTGGCCATCAGATTCCTTGTTGAGAATCTAAACTAGGAACTGTGAAGGGCATAATATAGCTAGAAGGAGGAGCTAAAAATGACAGATGCAGACAGAGATAGGTGAGGAGAAGGCAGGGCCACAACCTGGAGGGGTTTTGGCAACTCTGAGTTCAAGGGAGCAAGCAGGTCCTGAGACACTGGTGGGTCTATAAGGGGAGACAAAGGGGGCTCCTGAGCAGCAACTGGAGGGGGATGCTACCTCTCAGCCACCCTCTCTCAGCCCTGATGACTCTTCAGTTCCAGTCCTTACAGTAAATCTGCTTTTAGTTGCACTGCTTTGAGGGAGACTTGGTGACTTTTAACTACAAGAGGCTGACCAGATCAAAGGCTTAAAACCTGTTGCAGAAGATTAGGGTGAGGATGGAAGAGGACAGAGAAAAAGGAGAAGGAAAGAAGGAAGATGGAGAAGAAAAACATGGGAGAGAAAGGATGCAAAGGAACCAGGCAGGCAGGGTGGGGACAATTATCGGGGGCAGTTAGATCCAACAGGGAAGAGATACAGGCTGAGGGCCGGAAACTCTCAGGGTTCCCTCCTCAACCACCACAATAAAGATAAGGGGGCTCTCCTCTCCATTTCTATTCTTTACTTAATAAATAAATAAATAAATAAATAAGACAAACCTGCCTGTTTCCTCCCTGGAGAATTGAATGCGATCAGTTCTGGCTGTAAAGCCCCCTGGAGAAATTCACGGTGTTCAGGAAACATTAAGAGACTGAAACAGAGATGGCTTCTAAATCTCAGAGGAAGAAGCTTCGCAATGAAGTCTTGGACCTAATCATTTTATCCCTTGCCTCGGCCTGGTCACACTGCCAATTCCCCCAGCAGTAGCAATTGCTCACAAAGAGAGAATCTCAGAGTTCAGGCGCGGATTCAAACCCACAATCAAATAGAAGCTTGAGTTCTCCGCTCATATAATTTCTGGTAAACACTGTCAGTTTCAGACTTCCAAATGGAGAGTATATTTTTATTCATTTTAAGTTATCCTTGCTTTCATTTTCTTGGCAAATGGGACAACTGGGCAACCCAAGGGGTTTGATTTTCTCTATTTATTTACATTTTTCAACCCATATATACACCTGTCAAGATATAAGCCGGGTTTTGATGTTGAGACAAAGGAAGCACCATTCTTTCAGGTCCCAAATGGGATATTCTAGAGGCATGGGGTGTGGGGACATCGTTGCTTTTATGCTTTATAACAGATTAAAGGCAAGCTTGGCTCAGCTTTTAGCTGGGATGGAGTATTAGCAAATGAATGAATTATTCTCTGTTCATAAAACAAAATAAGCTTTCTATTAGCTGGGCTAGAGGTCTTCTTCCATTATAGATCATTAATAAATGAAAGTCTATTTGATTTCACAGGCCAATTTGTCATCAGTGTCACACTGATGAGCAGACTGGTGGTGTGAAAAGCATTAGATTTTGGAGTTTGAGAGCCAGGGATAATGATTCAAGGCTCTAGAATGTACTGAACTGTGGCTTCTGGTTAAGTTTCTTTATGCTGTTTGAGCCTCCCCCTTAACATCTGATAAACTGAAGTAACAGAATCTAATTTATACAGTTCTTGTAAGGGTTAAATAAAGTCATCAATGCAAAGTGAGTGGCCACATGCCTGACACTTGGTAGGCATTCAATAAATCTTCCTTCCTTCCAAACAAGAAACTTGGTAATTTAAAAAACTAAGAGCCAGGAATAGCCTTGCCCTAGGCAACATAATATTTCACCACTGCAACTGGATTACAAGCAAAAGGGTAATTCATGAAGTTGCTGACCTGTGTTCCCCGGGGCTGGAACAGCATGTTGGTTTCATAAAGAGAATGAGAGGTGATCCCTTGAAGCAGCTGTGTTCTGCCTGAGTCAGGAGGGAGTTCACCTGGGGTCTTTGGCCTACTCTTGCTCATGTCCAGGAACTGTAGTCTTGGGCTGCCTGCCCTCAACATGACATTTAACATAGGAAGCATAGAAAAAGCCCACAACTTTATACAAATGTGGCTGACTGCCTCATTTATAGGGGTCGAAGCGCTGACTGATGGGTGGTTGGAAATGTACCTGCTACCCTCGACTTCAGTGGATTTCTCTGGACATGCCACTGGACCTAATGAGAACTGTAGACTTCTGGCAGTGAGCTTGGCTGACCCCTCTGAGGAAGAAATGTATAGAAAAACAAGTGCATGGGCCTCGGAACCAGGAGGAAAGGATTCCAATGTCTGGGTCTCCTCCTTAGTAGCTCTCTGACTTCTTAGGCAAGCTACTGAACATTTTGAAATCTCTGTTTTCTCATATGTAAAATGGGAATAGCAGGGCCTACATCTCATGAAAACGGGATTTTCAAATAACAAAAAGGTGTTAGGTGTCTGTGACCTGGTAGACTGTTTATCTACATCTCTTTCTATGATGTTTATCCACATTTCATCCTATTGTTGCCCTCTTTGCAAAACATTTTATAGCTCATCATCACACTTGTTACCCTAACTCTGTGAAGAAGATATAATTACTCTTCTTTCATATTTTAGTGGTGGAATCTGAAGTGCAGTGAAGTTCTGGGACATTCTTAAGAGGCATGTTTGTAAATGGCAGAGTCGGCATTTGAACCTGGATCTTCCAATGTTAGAAGTGCAACTTTTTTTACTTCCAATTCTAGAGGTAAGACTGGCAAGTACAACCACAAGTTAGAATCATAGAAAGGAGTTTCAGAATCGCAGAGATACAATCACCCATACAGAGTCTAATCTTTCCAGTTTAGAAGTGGACAAATGAAGCCCAGAGAGTGAACTAACTTGCCGTGGGTCACACCACTGTCAGAGGCAGAGCAAGAATGAGAGCTTATCTCATCCTCTTCTGAGTCCCAGGCCAGGTTCTTTGCTCCTGAACTGAAATTGCAAACTGGAGAAAAGGGGGCAGATTTGGCCACAGCTCTGTTTTATGCTTACTCACAGTTTGCCATGATATTCCCTCCCCATCATCTTTTATGCAGCTACTACATACGTGGGCATTATATGCCTGGCCCCTGTAAATATTTGAGTTTGCAACTCCCACTTTATGGAAAGCTATTTCTAATTTGAATAAATAGATTTTAAAAGCAGCCAAATGTACTCCAACAATGAATTTTTCCAATTAGGTTTTATTTAATTGAATTTTGTAGATTAAACAATTGAGACTCGGCTGGGCACGGTGGCTCATGCTTGTAATCCCAGCACTTTGGGAGGCCGAGGTGGGTGGATCACCTGAGGTCAGGAGATTGAGACCAGCCTGGCCAAGATGGTAAAACCCCGTCTCTACTAAAAATGCAAAAATTAGGCGGGCATGGTGGCATGCGCCTGTGATCCCAGCTACTCGGAAGGCTGAGGCAGGAGAATCGCTTGAAAAAAAACGGGAGGCGGAGGTTGCAGTGAGCTGAGAGTGTGCCATTGCACTCCAGACTGGGAGATAGAGGGAGATTCTGTCTAAAATAAACAAACAAACAAACAAAACAAACAAACAAACGAACAAAACAATTGCGATTCAAAGGTCTGCCACTGGTCCAAGGTCTCACAGCTAGTGAGAGCAGAGCTGGGGCTCAGCCCTGGTATATCTGACTCCAGGCCTCCTTTTCTTTCCCCTGCCCTGAGCTCCAGCCTACAATATCAAAGCTGAGCTCCAAGACGGCAGATTCCCAATGCACATTTTCACTTTTCATCCAAACCAATCCCTTAGTACAGAGTGACTCTAGACAAGTTTTCCAAAACTCAGTTCCCTGAATGACCAGTTTACAAAAAACAAACAAACAAAAAATCCAAGCAAGTAAAAAGGTAATCAAACACACAATAAAACAGAAAACATTTCTCAAAATTATATATAGCTTCCAAGTAAATCTTGGTATCTAGTAGAGTCAGTCAGTTCTCTTTCTTTCTCTCCTCCTCTTTCAAAGATCTTTGGCTTTTCTTGGCCGTTTCCTGTTGCACCTGAATTTTAGGCCCAGTTTGTCAATTTGTCTAAAAATCCCTGTTGGGATTTTGATTGGAGTAGCTTTGAATCTATAAATCAACTTGGGAAAAAGTGGCATCTTTACAGCACAAAGTATTCCTATCCATGAATAGGGTATCACACTCTCCATTTATTCAGGTTTTCTTTTATGCTTTTTAATAAAGGTTTGTATATGTGTGTATATGTATATTTTCCCGTAAAGGTCCGACATGAGAAATTCATTCAATAAGAATTTATTGAGCCATGGGATATGTGAGAACAAAATTGGTCGATCCCACATGAATGAAATTTTCTGGTTTTTAAACTTTGCCACTTTTGTTACTCTTGTGTTAATTTCACAAATGGCTCATGAGCTTCATTTTGTATTTCTAACAACCAAACTTTAAACTTTCAGCATTTCTTACTACTAACAATGCACCAGAGTGACATGTTCTCAGGTCTTACGGATCAACTTCCTGTTCATTCATCCTCTTCAGAATGTCTTCTTCTTGTTAGGTTTGGATTTGGTGCTTATACATCTCTGGGGATGATAAAACCATTTAAAGCCCAAAGACTCTCTAAATCCCACTGTGTGTCTTCCATCATCATGCTGCCACGTACAGAGCTCTGATCCTTAATACTGTCATTACTGGGTCCCGTTAATTAGCCAGTTTTTCTTTCTTAAATGCAAGCATCTGATAAGCAATTAGATTGCATAGGCCTTACTTAAAACAAATAGGAGTAAATACTTTAGCTTTGTGCAATGAGGTAGGATCGAGGAGGCTGCATCATGTGGCAAAGAACAAAGAAATTTCGGAAAGAATATATTGCTCGTTCCTGTACTTACTCTGCAACTGGCAACTAACCTGTAAAATGGCAGTGGGATTTCAGAAATAAATGTTTTTTAAAGAGAATGCACAATGCTCACCCGAAAACTGGGTCATCTCCCGATTTCTTTTATCTATTCAGAAAATTGAGGGCTGCCTATACACCAAAACAAGGCTAGGTGCTGAGATCCAAATAACATAATGACAGTCACATTGCCCTCATTTTTATGTAGTATAGTGGGGGATGTAGACAACTCAACTTGCAAATTAATACAAAGTTTGATTAATATCATGACACAGAACAGCACCAAGAAGTCACACTGAGATATAGGAGTTCATAGGAGAAAGGTGTAGTGCAGTGAAGAATCCTGAAAGAGGTGATTACTGACTTGGGAAAGTAAAGCAAGGTTAGAGTGCCCAGAGAATAGATAAGAAAGTGGGAGTGGGGGTTGGCAAGAGGCATGAGATAACAAGAAGCCAGCTTCAGGAATTCAGACTTTATCCTAAGGGCAGGGAAGTTATTGGGGGGTTTTAATCGGAAATGACATGATCAGATTTGCTTTTTGGAAAGATCATTAAGGTCACCTTGAGGAGAATAAATTGAGATCAGTGTGGGGAGATGAGAAGTCCAGTTATGAGGCCACTTCCGTACTGCAGGCAATAAAAAAAAAAAATGATAACAGCTTCTACTAGGGTAACAGCACTAGGAACAGATAAAAAAGTTGAAGTCCAGAAAGGACAAGTAAGTAGCCTTCTCTACATCTACTAAGTGGTAAAGCAGGATTTTAAAACAAGTTCAATAGGGTCCAAACCCTGTAATCTTTTTAATGTACCCCCACTTTCCCTACCATATGTAAGGGCCAAAATTAATCTTGGGAGATTAAGGAAGGATGCTGAGCAGAATGGAAAATAGATTGGAAAGAGAATATACTAGAAACAAAAAGAGCCACCAGAAGCCTGTTGCAATAGCACACAAAAGAGAAGCTGAAGAAGAGAAGGTCATTAATATTTGTTGATCAGCTATGGAAGGTAGTATATAGCAGTGTTTCTCAAACTTTTAAGTGCTTAAGAATCATCTGGGAATCTTGTAAAAATGCAGATTCTGATTCTATAGGTTTGGAGCCTGAGATTCTGCATTTCTAAAAAGTCCCCAGGTGAGGTCCATGCTGCTGGCCCAGGGGCAGAATTTTTTTTTTTTTTTTTTTTTTAGCAGCAATGATGGAGGCTAACAGCCCAGGGTTCAAGTCAAATGGACCAGGAACTAAATCCTCATGTTGCAACTTATTAACGGTGTGACTTTAGGCAATGTAGGAGTTTTCTAGGGCTGCTGGTACCAAAAACTGGGTGGCTTAAAACAACAGAAAGTTGCTGTCTTATAGTTTGGGAGGCTAGAAATCTGTCAGCAGGGCCGTCCTCTCTCTGAAGACTTAAAGGGTGAATACTCCCTTCCTCCTTCTAGCTTCTGGCGTTTGCTGCCAATTTTGGGCATTTCTTGGCTGATAGGTGCATCACTGCAGTCATATGGTAATCTTCTCCCTGTGTGACTTCACATCATCCTCTGCTGTGCTATGCATGTCTGTCTCTGTGTCTAAATTTCCCCTTTTAATAAGACCATCAGTCATATTGGATTATAATCCATCCTAATGACCTCATTTTAATTTGATTACTTCTGTGAAGACTTCATTTCCAAATAAGTTCACATTCTGAGGTACTGAGGGTTCAGACTCCATTTTAACTTTTTTGGCGGGGACACAATTCAAGCCATAATAGGCAAGTTATTTTACCCCTTGGAGACTCAGCTTCTTCATTTTTCTTTATTTTTGAGACAGGGTCTTGCTGTGTTGCCCAGGCTGAAGTGCAGTGGCAGGATCAAGGCTCTCTGTAGCATTGAACTTCTAGGCTCAATCGATCCTTCTGCCTCAGCCTCCTGAGTAGCTAGGACTCCAGGTACATGTCACCATGCACAGTTAATTAAAAGAAAAATTGTAGAGATGGGGTCTTTCAGTGTTGCCCAGGTTGGTCTTGAATTCCTAGCCTCAAGCAATTCTGCTGCCTCAGCCTCCAGACTCAGTTTATCTGTCAAATGGGAATAATAATTTTTACTTTATAGAATTAAATGGAATAACAAAAGTAAAGGGTCTGGCACCCAATAAGGGCTCAAATCATTATAGTTAAGAACTACTAGGCACTAGGTACTTTTAATACATCTCATTTAACCATGACAACTGCTTTATGATGCTGGCATCACCATTTCCACTAGATACCAGAAGAGACTGAGGCTCAGTGAGGATAAAGAGTTTGTACAAAGTCACACTATTATTAAGATTTAAAACTCAGTTTTCTGCAAAGGCCATGATGTTTATTTCCACTCCAAAGGGCCTAACTTGGGGAAAAGAAGTAGTGAAGATAGACTTAAAAAAATCTCTCCTGCAGGGGCAACAGCAGAGAAGTGATGATTGTTTTTATTTTACCATGTAGGGACATGTGCTGGATACGGATTCTACTTTAGAAGTGCCCAGAATCACAGATGAGGTGTTCAGAAAGCTCAGGGATTGGAGGAGGGAGGGAGCAAAGGACAGGTGGTATATGAAGTCCAGTGGATTCATCATGTTCACCGGCTTCTATCATATTTTTTCATATTTCAAGGCTGCATTGGCATTTTTTTAACAGGCCATAGAAATTCACAATCAAAATTTCAAAGCTAAAAATACAGCCATGCCATCCTGGAAAATAGTTTTGTTTTTTTTTTATTTTGTGAAAAACAAAACACCTGACTGTCTTCTACCCAATAAAGAAAGAAATGTACAGGCTGCAATGAGTAATTGAACCTACTTTTGTCTGTTTGCAATAAACATTCACAAAACACATTATCCTTTTGACATTTCTGTTAGGATTGCTCATATTCCATTTTCTGTGAAATGCTTTCCATCCTCACCGGGTTCTTGTAATTACCTCTTTGGAAGAAGATCACCTCAGCTCTTTAGCTACATTATCAATTTTAAACAGTTGATTCCTAATCATTGTTGTTGCTGCTATTATGTTCAGACATCTCCGGAGGTGGAAGAAACTATGCTGTCTTAAGCTGTTAAAAGATACAGATAGCCTGATACCCAGCCAGGAAAATGATAGTTATAGACAAGCAGGTGGCAGTTTCATCATATTTCTTCCATTTTGTCAATTCCAGGGGTCACTGCATGGCCCAATAGTGGTAAAGGGAGCCACACTGTCTGGGATCTAACCCTGGTTTTGTCATTTTTCAAGCTGTGTGGCCTTAGGGAAATTGCTTAAATATACTGTGCCTCAGTTTCCTTACATGTAAAACTGGGATAATAATAGTACCTAATTCATAGAACTGTTGTGACCATTAAATAAGTCAGTATGTGTAAAGAGCTTAATTATGTGCATATTATCATATACAGTCAATAAATGGTAACTATGATGGTGGTTATAATTATTTTGGCATGATGATAGGCTTGAAATTGTTGTCACTTCTGTAGTATGGAATATTCTTAGTTTTATCTACAAAATAGACCTATGCAGTGCCCACATCATGCAGAGTATTATATCTAGGCCACAGTAATAAATCTGCATTGTTTCATTTTGTTTTTTCTAATTGCAGGGGGATGCCACTGAGGTGGTTTTCAGCAGAGGAATTAAATGACCAGATTAACATTCTACAGGATTATTCCACCTACTCTTTGGGGAATAGACTAGGCAGAGGTGATGTTAAGAAACCAGTTAGGAGCTAGAATAGGTGAGACATGATAGGGACATTGACCATGGTGGCGGTGAAGGAGGTGCAACAAAATGGGCTCAATGTGTAACTTACACGCAATTGTGCAGGCAGGTAACAATTATAGAGGGGAAATGTGAATGATGATTCCTGGGTTTCTGAATGACTGCATACAAGAGCAACGCATTGGAACGTATACAGGGACCTTTGTATGCTCTGAAACAACAGCAAAGAGAACAACAAAAAAAGAACATGAATAGAAATGTCTGTAGGGAATAGAAGAGGAACGGAAGGAAGCGATTCTCCACAAATGAAGTTTGTGGAGAACTGAAGCTCTCCATGGAGTGTTGAATGATTGCACTGTCCACTGAGAGAATAGCACAGTCTAAGCTTGGCAGAAGGGGTGCCATGATATTTGAGGAAGGCTGCACTTGTCACTTATGCACAGGAACAACATGGCTTTGAATTGCTAATAAGCCACATTATGCAGGTATGGCCTTGCCACCCAGATACATGGTAATATCTCACAGCCCCAAAACAACTTCCTTTGTATTCCCAAGTATATTTAGCTCAGTCCTAGGCATATAACAGAGTCCTTAATAAATACTTCTTGAATTTAAAAGCTGTCAAATAAAATATAAAGCATTTTTTTTACTACTATCATTTTTGAGAGCCTGTGGTAACTTCTGGAAACAGAAGATGAATGAGATATGGCCCAGGTCTCTAAGAACATGGATCTTTTCTTTCCCCTTCTCTTCTCTTTCTTCCCTTCCCGTCTCTTCCCTTCCTCTTTTCTCCCTGCCCTCTCCTCCCTTCTCTACTCTTCTACATATAATTCTTTCTCTCTCAACTTCTTTCTCTCTCTCTCTCTCTCTCACACACACACACACACACACAGACACACACACACACAGACACACACACATACTGCACCAAAAAGGGGAGTCGGCAGTCTGGGGTCCAATATTGAATTGTTTTGCAGATTGGATCCAGGTCTGCTCAAAATATCTCTCATCCTTCTTAGACCAAGAGGCTGGCCATGACATGTCCTTCTCATGGTGACAGTGAAGTACAGGAAAGCAAGCCCAATTCTGCAAACAAATTTGAAGACTCTGCTCACACCACATCAGCTAGCATCCTCTTGGCCAAAGGAAGTCACAAAGCAAGTCTCAAAGCCAAGGTGCAGCCACCTACAATCTGCCTGTAGCAGGAGAAGGTGCAAAATTGGCAAATGACATGAGTATAAGGAGGGATATAGAACCATGATTATTTTGGACAAATCTTTCCCATTCTCTAAGCTTCTTCAACTCCTAAATAAGGAACTTGGGTCAGATCTATGTGTTCACATTTAGTGAATTCTTGGACATGGCATTAACTAATATTAAGCACATAAAGTGATGATAATTCACTTTTGATTTTGCTTTCACTATTTCCAGCACATTGAGGAAAAAGTCTGAGTTGGTGCCTTTAACAAGTGTCTATCCCTTACTGATTTCCTATTTTAACAAGGAACTAGAAGACATCAGGTTTGGAGCCTTCTGTAGGCCACAGTATCTAGCTAGTATTTCAAAAGATTGCTTTGTTTTTATTTTATTTTAATCTATTTTGTATTTATAGCAAATATTTAAGGAAATTATAAAATCAACTATTGGTGGCATGCAGATAACAAAAAAATCATGATTATGGGGCTTGGATAACTGAAGTTTGGGAAATTCTGGATTTGACGATCTTTACAATTCTGAGGTCTTATTGATTGCTGCCAATTTCATTGCTCCAGCTTGCAGTCTTCACTTCTACCCCAAGGCTTTCCCAGAGGAAGATGAGCAGAAGAGGGCATTGTCTTTCTCTTCTGAAGTTTTCTGAGCCCTCTCATTCCCCCTCCCCTCTAAATACGAGCAGCCCAGCTGCGAACATGACTGCCCAGGCAGAGGTATTTGATTGACATGTTCATCTCTACACAACGGACCAGAGTCAAGTCAACCCAGGTTTGTCCCTGCCCTTGGCATTGTGACACGTGGGCCCAGATTCCAAATGTCATGTCACATCTCCTCGTGGCATCAAAGCACTCTTGAGAACAGGAAACACAAAACAGATGGCTGAAATGCCTTCAAAAAGACTCCCCCAGACAGCCAGGGAGATGCAGAGCCCTGTTGGTGATGATGGGTCACAACATATGCTCAGCAAAAAATGCCGAAGGGAAGAGTGATTTCTGTACCCACCGTGCCCACAGAACACTGGCTCAAATGCTTGGTATCAGCTGCCATGGACAGAGCGTCATTTGCATTTTCAAAATACCTATTAAATCTCTGATCTCAAGCCTTGGTTCCCTGGACTTTCAATGGTCCTAAAAGGTAGTGATAGAAAAATTCTATTTATATTCAATATTTCACTAATAAGCAAATGAATTTTAAAAAGTAATTTTCTCACAATAAGACTGTTGATTCCTCTGGTCCAGGTATTCTTAGTTTGGGTTTGCTGGGTCCTTAAAAAGTCCATGGATAATTTTAAAGAGGCCTGCGTCCCTTCCAAAATTACTGGTAAAAGCTTGTGTGTGTGTGTATACGTATATGGGTTTCTCTGGAGAAAAGGGTATAAAACTTTAGATCAGATTTTCAAAATGGCTCATGTCTCATTATAAATCACTGTTGTAACACTGCTCCTGAGAAAGATTACATGGGGCGGAAAAATGTCAAAATGAAACTAAACTAAACGGGGAGGCAATGTAAGGTTAACAATGTTTTCTCCTGATAGGAGCATTAAGAAAAATATCTGCCATTTATCTTTACCATAATTCTAAAAGAAGGTTATTTTCAATGCAGCAAGACATAAAAAAAAATTCAGAATGGGCATCAACTTAGATTAAAAATATAAATTTAGCTTTATTTAAAAACTCACTATATTGCCCATTTTTATTTTATTTCAATGAAGACTAGTGACCAATGCCAGTCTGTGGACCAGAATTTGGGACTTCTGTTCTCAGAGTACAAATTTCTACTCAGCCTACAAATTTTTGGGAAACCACGACCTTCTCTAGAATTGCCCAGAGCCTGGATCGCCCTGAGAGATGTCCTTTATCCTTGACCCCACTGTGCTATGACACCCTGTACTGCACTCCAAGGCAAGGATGGAAAATTCGAAGCAACTATTCATTCCAACAGCTATTGACTATGTTCCTCATGTGGGCTAGGCCCTGACGTAGACGTCAGACATGCAGAAGTGAAAGGCACCATCCTTCCCTAAGGGGCTCATATGGTAGCAGAAGGGATGAAAGAGAAGATAGAAATGGTGTAAGTAGGCATTGTCATCCACTCTACCACTCCCTCCCCTATTGCAAAATAAGCAAAATAAATGATTAACGATGCGACACAGGATGTATCACATAGTCCAAATTTCTCTTCATTGTATGGAACCCCAAATGAGATTGAATGGTTGAATTCTCCTCCCACCCAAAATTTAAAATGCCTCTTGCTTTTTGAAAGGTGCGACAGAGAATGCAAAGTATAGAAAGAGGACACTTGGAAAGAGAGTAGGCAAGAGCTTGTGTAGATACATAGCCAGTAAGTTTGCAGTCTGCACTGTAGGGAATCAAACCTGTTTAGCAAAGTAATGGTAAGATTTAGTTCTTGAAGTATATTTTAAATATCTGTCTAGGCTGGGCGTGGTGGCTTATGCCTGTAACCCCAACACTTTTTGGGGCTGAGGCAGGAGGATCACTTGAGGCCAGGAGTTCAAGACAAGCCTGACAATAGTGAGACCCTGTTTCTACAGAAAAAGGAAAAAAAAATTAGCTGGGTGTGGTGGTGTATCCCTATAGTCCTAACTACTTGGGAGGCAGAGGTAGGAGGATTGCTTGAGCCAGGAGGTGGAGGCTGCAGTGAGCTATGATTGAATCACTGCACTCCAGCCTGAATGACAAAGCAAGACCTTATCTCTTAAAGAAAAGTAATTAATTGCAGGCCACACCAAAACAGAGATGATTCTCCTGATCACAGGGTTAAAGTGCGAGGAAACTAGGAGTTGATTTCTGAATCCCCTGTACAGTAAGCGGAATTAAAGACTTCAGGAGGGTTTTCATTCTTGATAGTGTGTTTGACTTTCATGTAACTTCTTTGTTGTTTCCATAAAGTCCTGAGTGAAGAGAACCTCTCTGGCCATTTTTGCATATCAAAATCTGAATTTAGTGGATATTGCCACACAACTACAAATAGTTTGTCTATCAGGTAAGTAGATAAGAGTAGCCATACTCAGGTAAGTTGCAAAGACTATCACATGTGTTCTCTCAACATATATGATAACGATATTCTCCTTTTCATTCAGAAGCCAGAGAATACGAAGTTAATTACCTTGACCAAGGGCACAAAGCCAGCCATGGGTGCCTGAGACTTCACTGACTCTAACACTGAAAGAGCTCAAAGAAGGCAATCAGTCCCAGAGCACTGCATAGCAACATTTCAGTTCTAGAGGGGCCATGAATTCAGGTCTTAGCTGCCATTTGGTTGCTCAGTCCTGAGTGGGTTTTGGTTTTAGTTTTTTCCTTTTTGTTTTAATTCTCCTTTTTTAATTAACACACAATAATTGTACCTATTTATGGGCCACCTTGTCATGTGTGGATACATATAACATGTAGTGATCAAATCATTGTAATTAGCATACCCATCATCTCAATCATTTATCAATTCTTTATGTTTGGAACACTTGATATTCTCCCTCCAGCTATTTGAAACTATATATTTACTATAGTCCTCCTACAATGATGAATATAGGAACACTGGAACTTATTTCTGCTATCTGGCCAAAATGTTGTATCTTTTAACAAATCTCTCCCTATCCGTCTTGTCCTCCTACCCTTCCCAGCCTCTAGTATACTCTGTTCTACTTTTTACTTCCATAAGATCAGTGGTTTTTAGCTTCCACATATGAGTGAGAACATGAGGTATTTAACTTTCTTTTCCTGGCTTATTTCATAGCCCTGAGTTTTTGAGACATCAAGATTGAGTGTTGTTCCCCACAATTTATAACTATTCAAAGTAATAGAAGATTTACAAAGATGATCAAATGGTTGCAAAATATCCCTTATTCCTGTTGTAAGAGGCATCTGTAGTTAACATAAAGAAAAGAAGACTGAGATAAATTAGGAACTTTGGAAACTTTATGTTTTAGAAATAATCAGAGAATGTGAGATTTAAAACAAAATTTAGAAGTTATTTAGCCAAACCAGATGGAAATACTGAGGTATCCAGGAATGTAACAATATTATTTTTACAAAACAAATTATTTTTACACAACAAATTAGTAACAGAGCAGGGATTAGAATTCAGTTCTACAATGTTCTAGCCCAATGTTCACAGCACCACAGCAGACATTCAGAGGATGCTACACTGACAAATGAAAAGGACTATGAACCATGAAGAAGAAATTTTGATCAGAGAGAGAAATTTTGTCCCCAAAGAGCACAAACTTTTAAACACGCTATGTTTTGTTGTCAAGGGAGGCTGTGAGGATATATTCCCTGGGTCAATATATAAAAGATGCTTTAGCTATAGTCTTAGGCAGAGGACCAGAATACACTCAGCAGCTGGTCTATTTTATTTCCTGGAGCAAGATCTGTGACTCCAACATTTCAAGGCCTAGATGATAACTTTAATACTATTCCCAAGTTCAAAGGCTTCACTTTCTTATTTGCAGCTTCTAAATAAGCTTTGGTTTTGTAGGGACAAAATGCCCGCCTCTGAGGAATGTGAAAGCAGATTCCATTTCCACTTCGATGACAAGCCCACGTGAAAGCATATCTAGGGGTAACTCAACTTTCTCTTAAAGCCATTCCAGTCAGGCCTTCGTGCCCTCTGCCTTACCAAAGCAGCATTTGTGAAGGTCACCAGTGACCTCCATGTTGCTGAATCCAATGGTCAGTTCTCAATCCTTACTTGACTGTCAACACTATGCAGCACAGCTACCCACTCCTCCTCCATACAGCACACTCTTCACTTGACTTCCATGATGCCACTCTCTTGAGTTTCCTCTCCTCCCTGGCTACTCCTTTGTATTTTTATTTATTTTTATTTTTTATGAGAGACAGGGTTTCACCATGTTGGCCAGGCTGGTCTCAAACTCCTGACCTCAAGTGATCTGCCCACCTTGGCCTCCCAAAGTGCTGGGATTACAGGCGTGAGCCACTATGCCCGGCCAGTACTCCTTCTTAGTCTCATTTGCAGGTTCCTCCCACATTCCCCAACCTCTAAACGTGGAAGTTTCTCAGATCTCTATCCTTGGACATTTTTTCTTCTCTACCAAGGTTCACTCCTTCGGTGATCTCAGCCACTTTTATGGCTTAAATATCATCTGTATTGTGATAACTCTCAAATTTGTCACCTCTGTCATCAAAATATAGTCTAACCACTTTTCACCACAGCTAATGCTACCACCATCATCTCTTGCCTAGATTGTTATAATAGTTACCTGATTTCCCCCCATGTGTCCACCCTTGTCTCTCTATAGTTGATTTTTCACTCAGCAGGCAGATTAAAAAAAAAAAAAAACCCAAAAAACAAAAAACTTAAACTTAAGGCAGAAAAAAATCAGTCCTTCATTCCTCTGCCCAGCCTTCTCCCTTGATTTCTTCTTATCTCAGAGTACGCACCAAAGTCGCCACTAACTCTCTCATCTCCTAATTTACCACTCTTTTTCTAGCTCAACCTGCTCCTCCAGACTCACTGGTCCCCCTCTGTCCCTCAAACATGCCAGGCACAATTGCACCTCAAGGTTTTTCCTTTTCTCTGCACGCAGTGTTCTTCTCCCAGATGCCTGCACACTTTCTCCTTCATTTCCTTCGGGTCTTTGCTGGAGCTGCTTTTACTTACAACACTTCTGGCACCAAATGTATGGGTGTTTCCCTCACACCAACCATTTCTTTGTTTCTCTAGTCATCTAGCGGGTGTCCTACAATTTAGTTTGACTCTGACACTCACTACCTGGAGTTAGCATTAGACCTACAGGTTTAAGAACTCAGTCTCACAAGACTGCCCCTCACTTCAGGTGCCAGTCACAAATACTGGGTCCCTAGGCAACACGCTCTTCTGTCTAACTTGGATACAAATCAAGAGTTCCCACGACCCCCTTTTCAGGTTCAATAATTTGCTAGAAGGACTCACAGAACTCAGAAAAGCACTTTACTTACAGTTACCAGGTTATTATAAATGATACAACTTAGGAACTGCCAAATGGAAGAGATGCATAGAACAAGGTATGGTGGGAGGGTGTGGAGCTTCCATGACCTCTCTGAGGCACCACCTTTTCAGCCCATCAATGTGTTCACTAACCTGGGAACTCTTTGAACGTCATCATTTGGGTGTTTTTATGGAGAATTCATTAGTTAGGCATGATTGATTAAATCACAAATCTTCCTACCTCCACAGAGGTGGGAGGGTGTGCTGAAAATTCCAAACCTTTAGTCACCTGGTTGGATCCTCTGGTAACCATTCCCCATCTTGAAGATATCTAGGGGCCCACAAGAGTCAACTCATTAGCATAAACTCAGGTATGGTTGAAAGGGGTGTGTTATGAATAACAAAAGATACTCCTATCACCTCTATCACTCAGGAAATTCCAAGAGTTTTAGGAGCTGTATGCCAGGAACAAGGACAAAGACCAAATATGTATTTCTTATGCTACACTGCTCAAATGTCTTCTAGTCAATAAGGCTTCCCTTGACCCGTCTGAATAATATAGCAGTTCTGTCTCTCCTCTGTACTCTCACTATGTCTCTTATCTCTACAGTGGTTATCATGATTGGACAAACCATCAATTGATTCTTCTAGAGTTTACTACAATGTAAACTCCATAACTGGGACTTTGCCTATTTGATTCACTGTTCTTTCTCTCACACTTCAAATGGTATCTGGCATTATAGTGGCTACTCAATAAATAATTAATGAATGAAAGAACCAAATTAACAAATCTTGTCCACACCTACAACCAAGCTCAGGGAGCAGTGCATTTAAATCCACCATGGGAAGAGGAAGCCTCTGTTCTCCACATTTGACTGCTCTGAAATCAATACCCTATGCTTTAGGAAGAATGGAATTACTTACAAAAATATGAAAAATGAATCATATCATATATAATAGGCATAGTGGTTAAGAGTTGAGGTGCTGGCCGGGGGTGGTAGCTCACATCTGTAATCCCAGCATTTTGGGAGGCTGAGGCGGGTGGATCACCTGAGGTCAGGAGTTTGAGACCAGCCTGGCCAACACAGCAAAACCCCGTCTCAACTAAAAATACAAACATTAGCCAGGTTTGGTGGTGTGCGCCTGTAATCCCAGCTACTTGGGAGGCTGAAGTAGGAGAATTGCTTGAACCTGGGATACCGAGGTTGCAGTGAGCCAAGATCGAGCCACTGCACTCCAGCCTGGGAGACAAAGCGAGAATCTGTCTAAAAAAAAAAAAAAAAAAAAAAGTTGAGGTGCTACATCCATGCTCCCTGAATTCAGATCTCATCTCCATTTCTTACTGTGTGTGTTTGGCAAGTAATCTAATTTCTCTAGGTCTCAGATCTCTCCTCTACAAGATGGTGATAATGTTAGGACTACCTTATGCAGTTGTTGTAAAGATCAAAGGAGACATACCATATTTAAGATATTCAGAAAAAGACCTGGTATACGGTAAGTACTTAAGTGTTAGCTTGTTATTATACTAAGGATATATTGTCCAAATAACACTCTTTTTTGTTCCCCAAGAAGCTTTTAAGAGGGATTTACCTATATACCACATAGTCACATATACAGATATGTGTGTATACATGTATATGTATAAATTATAAATATATATATTATCTATATATACACAAACATATAAATATATACAGTAAGGTATATATATTCAATATATAGTGAGTTAGCTTGTGAGTTTGATATACAGGCATATATTTTTTATGTATACATGTATTTTTTAAAGTTGCATATTGGCTTTCTATTTTTTTCTGTGTACAGCTTCTTGTGCCCCACACAAGCCCCGCAGCAGGGTTCAGCACTTCTCTTTATTCCTAAAGATAATCCAGTCCACCAAATATTAATGAGCAATAAAGATTTTACTTAATATTTCATAGGGGGCTTGGAAGAGAGGGCTTATATGATATATCACCAAAATCATTTAAGAGCTCTTCATTAGATATTTCTCTTTTCCACCAAAATTGCTCTTTGGCCACACCCCCAACCAGATTTCTCTCTTCCCTGCCTCTTCTTCCAGGGTGACTTGGCCCCTTCATCTGGGCTCACTTTGCCCTTCACCCACCTACAGCCCTGTGTCTGTGGGGCCATTTCCAGCAGGAGCACCTACAGGGAGCTGTACCTTACTTGTCTCTTGCTCATAGCAGAGGGCCTGCTGCATGGTACATGCTCCGTGGGCTATTAAGAAAATGAATGCACGAAATAACCTTATGTATGTGTGCCGTATCTTCTTTAATGGAAAAGGAAATTAAGACAAAAGAGTGTCAAAGGGCTATGGAACAGTCAAAAAGAACCCTCAAATTCTCCTGTCCTCCTCTGCCCCCATTGACCACAAAGACCAACCACTAGTAGCCTTTCTATTAAATACTGAATAATTCTGACCTTTCCTGGGTCTTGTGAGGATCAACATTATGCTATGAGCTAGTCTCGGACCATGCAGAGAGAAAGATCCCTCTCTCAACAGCTGCTTCCTTTATTTCATTCCCTACTGGGGAAAACTAATCAAACATGTAGGAAGCTTAAGAATATTCCAAGGAGATTTGATTCTTTGCTGGTGGCCAGTTTCAAGAAATGCATACTGATGAACACAAACCGATCCCCACTTCCTCCCCTTACAGGCTTCTCCAGCTGAGCAGGCCCAAGCCTAAGGGACAGGCCCAGGAAATACCCATAGGAAATGTGTCCTGTTGGTGAGTGCCTGAGTTGGGACTCTATTCTCTGTGATTTATTTTTCTTTTTTGTCAAATTGAAGAATAACCCAACACCGATAAAAATAGAGATGAAATAGAAACTGCTAAGAGTTCCCGTTTTGGGGTGTTTTAGAACGGCCTTTTGCTTCCTTGTTCATGTGGAAAAATTATCATCATCCTCAGTGCTCTGCTGCATGGCACAGCACAGTCCCTTCTCCTGTGTCCTGAGGCTGAACCTTTGCTCCTCTGTGATAGCCCTTCCTCCTGTATACTTGTCTGTGCCCTGTCACTGTATCTTCAACATGTGTTATAGTCACTGCTCTACAGTCAGGTCTGATTTCCCCAGACACTGGCTTCTTAAGGGCAGCATTGGATTATGTATGCCCAGTCTGCAATCAGTACTCAGTAAATTTGGTTAAATACATAAACAAATGAAAAGTATACTGAATTGAGATCAAGAAAAGCAGGATCATATCCCAGCTCTGATTCAAATGCCTTCTCAATCTAGAAGAGCCTTGGTATACTAATCTGTGCAGTAGATATGATAATCCCCATCATTGGCCTCACAGGATTGTTGACATGATTAAATGAGATAATAATAAAAAAGCCTGTTTTTCTTATCGATTGATTGATTGACAGGGCCTCACTCTCATCCAGGCTGGAGTGCAGTGGTGTGATCATAGCTCACTGCAATCTCAAACTCCTGGCCTCAGGCAATCCTCCCACCTCAGCTTCCTGAATAGCTGGGACCACAGGTGTATGACACCATGCCCAGTTAATTTTTAATTTTTTTGTAGGGATGTGGTCTTGCTATGTTGCCCAGGCTGGCCTCAAGCAATCCTCCCACCTCTGCCTCACAAAGCATTGGGATTGCAGGCATGAGCCTTCATGCCTGCCCAAAAAAACCTCTGTCAAGGCAAAATGTTATTCTAATATAATGAGTTACTGTTGAGGAATATCATGCTCCATTTAATTAAGGATAACTCAAAAATCAGTTCAGGAATTTTTTTTAATGCCATCTAATACAAGTTTAATAATAAAATAGTTTAAATGAGAAAAGAATGTAATTAATTCGTTCAGAGATGCAAATAACTTTTTTAGCTGAGAAAATAAACAACTATTGGCACTTACAGTGTATTATTATAGTATAGAAGGACATTGAAAGAAAATGTGTGATGGGTGAAAAATAGGCTAGGATGGGAGAGAAGGAGAGGACAGTAAGAAAGTCAGAGATACACAGATGGGCACTGCAGGAGGGCACCCTTAACTCATTGTCTAATCCATACTGAGCAGATTACTTCATGATCTCATTTAATCCCCCTAGCCTATGAAGATGGTATTACAACCTCATTGTACAGATGGCAAACCCTAGAAACTTGGAGAGGCGAAGTAAGTCGAAGCACAAGACGTAAGCTCCACGAGGGCAGAGATATTGCATTAATGTACATGCCCCATACCTGGGAAGTACCTGGCATATCACTATTGCCTGAAAAATAGTTCTTTAATGAAGGAGTGAGTGTCACACAGCTGATAAGTGGCAGACTGATTGGCACTGATGCTTACTGGCTGGCTTGCTTGACTATACCACAATCAAGTTTATATCAGGAATTTGTAATTCATAAAAGCTACAAGGCCAGCAAAATTCAGAAAATGGTGTAATTTATCCACATCTCTGAAATAGAATAATTAGCAACCATGAAATAAATATAAATATAAATATTAACACTGTGTCATAAGCCCTAAAATTTCCTAACAGGAAAGTGCTCTGATTGGCTATTTGTAGTAGAGTGTGACATGGGATGTTAGCCCATGTTGTTCTATTTAGTTCTTATAACTGCCTGGCTTAAGTGTGAGTTAGAGAAGAGTAGTTATCCCAGAGGAGTTTCACTCCAATAACAGATGGTTGTATTTTAAAAATCAGCTTTATTGATGCATAATTTATATGACATGAAATGAGCCTATTTTAAGTATACTCAATCATTATGTTTTGGCAAATTCGTACACCTGTACATCTACCACCACTATCAATATATAGAACATGTACCTCACTCCCAAATTCTTCTTTTATTATAATGTTTTCAGTGACTCTCCCCACTCCAACTCCCAGCCCCAGGACACCAATGATCTAATTTCAGTCATGATACATTTGTTTTCTCCACTCTAGAAATTTATATACATGTAATGATTATACCTACTATAAGCAATGTTTGACTTCTGGCTTCTTGCACTCACCATAGTAATTTTGAGGTTCATCCAAGTCATTGGAGGTATTAATACTTTATTTCTTTTTATTATTGCTATTCCTTTGTATAGAGTCTTCCACAATTTGCTAATCTATTCACTTGTTGCTGTGGTTTGAATGTGTCCCCCAAAAAGACTGCATTGGAAACTTAATCCCTAGTGCAACACTGTTAAGAAGTGGTATGTTTAATAGGTGATTAGGCCATAGGGGCTCTGCACTTATGATGGATTAATGCTATGATTGTAGGAGTGGGTTTCTTATAAAAGGATAAGGGCAGCCCCCTCTTGTGCTCTCAACACCTCTCCTCCTGCCTTTCCTCCCTCCACCATAGGATGATGCTGCAAGAAGACTCTCACCAGACCCTTGCATCTCAATTTTGGACTTCCCAGCCTCCAGAATTGTGAGAAATAAATTTCTGTTAATTATAAATTACCAAGTTCTTTGCAAAATTGTGTTTATTATTGAAAAACAAATTATCCAGTTTCAGATATTCTGTTATAGCAGCTCAAAATGGACTAAGACATTTGTTAATGGACATTTGGATTCTTTCCAGATTTTGGTTATTGTGAATAAAGCTGCTGTGAACATTCATGTGCAGCTCTATGTAAAGATATATGTTTTTATTTCTTTCAAGTAAGCATCTAGGAGTAGACTCGCTGGGATATAGGGTGACAGTATGTTTAACTTTATAAGAAATTGGCTGATATCCAAAGTGGCTGTAACCTTTACACTCCCACCAACAATGCATGAGAATTCTATTTGCTCCACATTGTTGTCAGCATTTACTATTTTTAGATTTTTTTTTAAGCCTTGCCATTCTAGTAGGCATTCTCATTGTGGTTTTAATTTGCAATTTCCTGATGATGTTGGGCCTCTGTTATGAGTTGAATTGTGTCTCCCAAAATTACATGTTGTGGCTCTAACTCCCAGTGACCTTATTTGGAAATAGCATTTTTACAGATATAATCATGTTAAGTTGAGGTCAAACTGAATTATGGTGGCCCATAAACCGAGTGACTGGTGTCCTTGAAAAAAGATCAGGTAGTTAACTACAGGCACACACATACAGGAGAATACCATGTGTAAATGAATGCAGAAATTGGAATAATGTATGTATAAACCCAGGAATACCAAGAACTGCCAGCAACCACAAGAAGCTAACAGTCATGGAACAGATCCTTCCCTAGAACCTTCAGGACCATAGCCCTACTGATACCTTAATTTCAGACTTCTACCCTGCAGATCTGTGTGAGAAAAAATTTCTGTTGTTTTAAGCCATTCAGTTTTCAGTACTTAGTTATAAGAGCCCCAGGAAATTAACATAGCATTTTTTCATGTACTGATTAGCTAATTACATGTGTGTATATATATATGTGTTTGAATTAAATGTTCAAATATTTTGCCCATTTTGAATTGGATTATTTATCTTCTTGTTATTGAGTTGTATACACACACACACACACACACACACACACACAGACACGTACACACAAACACTTTGGATACCAGTTATTTGCCAGACAAACACTTTGTGAATGTTTTTTCCAAGTCTATGGCTTGTCTTTCATTTCCTTAACAAGGTCTTTATTTCAAGAACAAAAGTTTTTAATTCTAGTGAAGTAAAATTTATGTATTTTTCATGTTATGTTCTATGATCTATATGTCTTGAGAAATACGTATCTACCCCAAGGTTATGAATATTTGATTATATATTTTCTTCTAGGAGCTTTATCATTTCAGCCTTTATGTTTGTGTATACTATCCATTTCAAGTAATTTAAGTGTATGATATGCGATGAGGGTCTAGTACTTTTCTTTTTCATATAAATATCCAGCAATTCCACCACTATTTGGTAAAAAGAGTCTTTTCTCCCATTGAAATGTTTTAGCAACTCTGTTGAAAATCAGTTGAGCATATATGTGTGGGTCTATTTCAGGAATCTCTGTTCTGTTTCATTTAATGATATGCTTACATCAATTCTATTATGCGTTGTTACTGTAGTTTTATGAAAAGTCTTGAAATAAGGTATCGTAAGTCCTCCAATTTTGTTAATCTTTTCCAAAATTATTTTGGCTGTTTTAGGTCTTTTGCATTTTTCATCTAAATTTTAGAATAGGATTGTAAATTTTGGCGGGGGGAGCCCCTGTTGTAATTTTGATTGAGATCTCCTTGAATCATGAGTTAATCTGGGGAAAATGGACATCATAAAAATATTGAGTTTTCTAATTCAGCATTATGGTAAAGCTTCCCATTTATTCAAATCTTAAAATTTCAGCAATATTTTGTGATTTTCATTATATAGGTCTAGTGCTTTTGTATTAAATTTATTTCTATGGTATTTTAAGAAATTATTATACTGCTTCTTGCCAGTATATGAAAATATAATTGTTTTTTGTATACTGAATTTGTATCCTGCAATCTGGCTAAATTCACCTCTTAATTCCAGTACATTTCTGGAGATTAAAATTTTCTACATCTGTGAACATGAACAGTTTTACTTCTTTCTTTTCAGCCTTATGCCCTTTACATTCCAAATTTATTTTAATAACTAGCAGTTCCAGTACAATGTTGAATAGAAATGATGAAAGTGATCCTGATCTTATGGAAAGGTATCCAGCTTTCTAGGTAAGAGATTAGCTGTGGCTTTTCATAGATGCCCTTTATTAGCTTGGGTATCTTCCTTTCTCTTCCTAGTTTGCTGAAAGGTTTTGTTATGAATGAGTGTTGAATTTTGTCAAATGTTTCTTTTGTATCTATAGCGATAGCTGTATTGTTTTTCTTCTTCATTCAAATTGTATCATAAATTATGTTGATTAATTTTCAAATTATCAACCAATGTTGTGTTCTGGATATAAACTCTATTGGCCAGAATGTATTGCTCTTTTTGTTTATTGTTAGCATGGCTCTGGCCTCATCTAAATTCTGAAAGATTTCGTGTGGGAGTGGTACTATCTTCCTCAAATGTTTGATAGAATTTGCTAATGAGGCCATCTGTGTCTGAAGTTTTCTTTGGAAGAAAGTTTATTATTATAAATTTAATATCTTTAGTACATATTGAACTATTCAAGTTTTCCATTTCTTCTTCTATCAACTTTTTAAAGTTTTGCATTGCAAGACATTTTCCTATGCATCTAAGTTCTTGAATTTATTGGCATAAAGGTATTCATAATGTTACTTTATTAACACTAACATTTATAGTATCTATGGTGATGTCTCCTCTTTCCTTATTAATATTGGAATTTATGTCTTTTCCTCTTTTTTCTTGGTTAGCATAATTATATGTTTATTAAAGTTTTATTGACCTTTTCCAAGAACCAATTTTTGGTTTTATTGATTTTCTTTATTGTTTGCCTGGTTTCTGTTTCACTGATTTCTGCTCTTCTCTTTATTATTATTTTTTCTTTCAGTTAGAGTTTAATTTGCTGTTTTTAATAGCTTCTCAAGGTGAGGAGTTAATAATAAAGTTAACTGACTTTAGACCCTATTTTTCTAATATAAGTATTTAAAGATATATATTTCCCTTTAAGCACTGTTTTAGCTGCATCCCACAAAGCTGATATGTTGTGTTTTCATTGTAATGCACTTTAGTTTATTTTCTAAAGTCACTTGTTATTTTTTCTTTGACATGTTTTAGTTGGTATTTTCTAGATATTGAAAAAAAAATTGATTTTTAATCTAATTATCTTTGTGATAGAGAACAGAGAACCTTGTTTTATGGCTCTGCATAAGTTCTATTTTGGTGAAAGTTCCATGAGCACTTGAAAAGAAAGTGTATTCTGCTGTTGTTGAGTGTTGAGTTTTATAAAATATTATTTCAAATTGGTTGATCATACTGATCAAAGCTTCTATATTCTACTGATTTTTTTATCTATTTATCTTTTCAATTACTGAGAGAAGAAATGTTATAATTTCACAATTTAACGGTAATCTTGTTATTTTTCCTTTCAGTTCTTATTCAGTTTTTGCTTCATGTATTTTGAAGCTTCAAAATTGTGATACCATCTTTATGTTTTTATAATTTAAAATTGTGATATCTTTATGTTTTTATAATTATGAAAAATTAGTATTTATCCCTGGTAAAATTTCTTGTCCCAAAGCCTACTTTGTCTAAAATTAATATAGTTTCTCTAGATTTTTTATGATTGGCATATTCCAACCATTTACTTTTAGCCTATCTGTGTCTTTATGTTGTCTTTATGTTGAAAGTGTGTTTCTTGCAGACAGCATATAAAGGTTGAGTATCCCTAATCTAACAGCCTATAATCCCAAATGTTCCAAAACCTGAAACTTTTTCAGTGCCAACATGACACTCAGAGGAAATGCTTATTGGAGCACTTTGGATTTTCAGATTGGGGATGTGGTACCCATAAATATAGTGCAAATATTCCAAATTCCAAAAAAAAAATCAGAAATCTGAAACACTTCTGGTCCAGGCATTTAGAATAAGGGATACTTAGCCTATAGTTAGGTCTTGCTTTTAATCCATGTTTTGCTTTTAATCATCTCTGCCTTTTCATTTGCATGTTTATATTAGTTACATTTAATGTAGTTACTGACATAGTTGAATTTAAATCTACTGTCATGCTATTTGTTTCCATCTGTTTTTTTATTCTATTTTCTATCCTTTTCATCTTTTAGATTAAGTATTTTTCTGTATTCTACTTTGTCTCCACAATTGCCTTATTAGCTATTCTTTTTAGTGTTTATTATTTATATATTTGGTTATTTAGTTATTTATTTAGGTAAATGCTCTGGGGTTTACAACTTATCACTGTCTAACTTCAGATAATATTATACCATTTCACATGTAATGTAAGAATATTACAAACATATATTTCCATTTCCCCCTTCTATCTGTTGTAATATTGTCATTACTTCTACATATGTTGCAAACTCCACAACACAATGTTGTTATTTTTGCTTTAAATGGTTTATTTTTTTAATAAAAAATTTAAAATGAGGAAAGATGATTTTATTTACTCACATGTTTACCATTTCTGGTGCTCTTCACAACTCTGTACAGATGCAAGTCCTCAGCAGATACAATTTTCCTTCTATCTGAAAAATTTCATTTAATGCTACTTGTATTCTGTACTTTTGGCAACAAATTCTCTCAGCTTCTATTTTTCTAAAAAAATTCCAATATTGTCTTAATTTTGGAAGAAAACTTTCACAGGATACTAGGTTGACAGCTTTTTTTTTTTTAAAGCACGTTAAAGATTTTTCCGTTATTTTCTGAATTTCTTTTTTTTTTTTTTTTTTGGATTAAAAAAAATCAGTGAACCTTCTTATTTGTATTCCTCTATACTTAATGTACCCTTTTCTTGGGCTTCTTTTAAGATGTTCATTTTATCATTTGTATTCAGAAATCTAATTGTGATGTATGCTGGCATAGTTTTGTTTTTTATCCTGCTTGATTTTCATTTAATTTCTTTAATCTTTGAGTTTATAGTCAAATTTGGAATGTTGTCAGCCATCATTCAAATAATTTTTGTTTTCTTTCTTTCCTTCTGAGATTCAAATTACGTACACGTTAAATCACTGGATATTGCCCCATGGTCTCTGTCACTGAGAATTATTTTGTTTTGTATTTTATTTTGGATAATTTTTATTGCAGTCTTCAAATTCCTTTATCTTTTCTTTTGCAGTTTTTAATCTGCTGTTAAAATTTTCCAGTGACATATATATTTCAGATATTATATATTTCAACTCTAGAAGTTTTACTTGATTCTTTTATTTATATAGTACATTTGTATCCTCTTAATGTTCAGTTTCCTTTAAGTCTATGAACATATTTATAGTAGCTATTTTAAAGTTCTTGTTTACTAAGTCCATCATCTCTGCCATTTGTTGATCTATAACTATTTACTGACTTAATTTTTTCTGATTTTAGGTCATCTGTTCCTGCTTCTTCACATGTCCCGTCATTTTTTTGTGGGACAGGATGTTGACCACTGTAAATATTTAGTTACTGAATTCTAGATTATGTTGTCTTCCTTTATACAGTGTTGAAGTTCATTTTGGCAGTTTCTTTCAGATCACCTTGAACATTTAAAGGCTTGTTTTTGAAGTTTGCTATGACAGGTCTAGAATAGCCTTTACTCTTGGGCTTGTTTAACCCAATCATGGAGTCTTCATTGAAATATCCCTCCTCTTGCTGCTCAGAATTCAAGCTCCTTTATACACTCTGGAATTGCTTGGCTTAGAATTCTCTAGTTGTTCTTTAATCAGCTAAGTGGGCTTCTGCCGTATGCATTCATAGGTTATCATATGCATATGATATGATAGGCATATCATGATATACACATATGATATGATCATATGCATCTTAAGGGTAATCATATGCATATTTCTGGAGCTTATTGTCTGTACACCAATTTCTTCTTTGAAATTATGTTCTGCTACTTCTAGATGCCTCAGTTTCACTGAACTCTCATCATTTCCTCAGCTCTTCAGTTTGCCATCCCTGCTTGATATACACCTCCCTCTGCTGCAATCCAAAAGTGCCTCTAGGCAGAAAGCAAGAGCAAGGGCAGTTTTCACCTCGTCTGTTGACTTCTTATCAAGGATCACATTCCTGAGCTGTCTAGTGTTCAGTGTCTTATATTAGCTATTTCTTAAATTTTTTCCCAGTTTTCTAGTTGTTTGTAGTACAAGGGTAAGTCTGGCAAGAATTACTCTAACACATCTGGAGCAGAAGTTCAGAATGTCTTTCAGGATAAAGAGCTGTTCTTTAATTCAAAAATATTCTACTTAGAGTTCTAGTTCTTCCATTCGCCATCTGCGATTGCTATATAGATAAATAACTTCTTCTTACATCAATTTACCCATTTGTAAAATTGTGATTATGGATCCTGTCACGTAGGAGAGTTGTAATGACTGTGTGATCTAAAATTTATTCCGCCTTGCTTTTTTTCCTTCTTTTCATTTCTTCTTTTCTGTCCTCCCTTTCTCCCTCCTTTCCTTAGTCCCTCTATCTCTTCCTGCTTCCCTCCCTCCTTCCCTTACTCACTCCCTCCCTTCCTTTATTCTTTCCTTCCCTCCCTCCCTTCCTCTTTCCCTCCTTCACTCCACAAATATTCTACAGAACATGGAGAATCAGTAGCAAAGACCAAGGAAGTCCCTGCCTACCTCGAGTCTACCTTCTAGTAAGTATAAATAGGGGAATTAATAAATAAAGAAGATATTTCAGATAATAAAAAATTCTATGAAGGAAATAAAACAGTGATGTAATCAGAGAGTAATGAGAAGACTGGATTTGAATGTGGCCATTAGGATAGTCTTCTCTGGGGGGTTAACAGTTGAGCTAAGACCTAAGTAAGAAGGAATCAAGAATATAAAGAGACAGCAGGAAAGCATTTCATGCAGAAGAATCAGCAACTGCAAGCTCTGAGGTGAGAATGAGCACATTTATTATAGAAACTGAAAGGCCAGCGTGACTGAAGCGAAATGAAGGATGGCATCAGTGGTACAAGATAAACAGGGAGAGGCAGTCAGGGACCACCAATTCTCAAGAGCTGCAGAGGCCAAACTTAAGGGTGAAGTGCCATGGAAAGAATCATTACAGAGATTTGTTTGTTTTGTTTTATAAGCAAAGGAGTGATAATAAAATCTGATTTCTGGTTTCTCAAAATCATTCCATCTCCTCTATGAAAACTCCTAACAGTGCTATAATTTCAAAGGCCTGTTTGTACAACGTAAATTGAATTTCACCAATATTTATTGAGTGGATATGATATGCCATATGTTGTGTGAAGCAGAAATAGAGAGGATATTCTCTGACTGCCTACATCTCATAATTTTCTTGGGAAGTCAGACATATGCCAAGTAACTGTGGCTGTTTCTTTACCATTATTGAGCAGAGTATAGAAAAATCCTTAGTGAGCTGAAAACTGATGCTAAGTCTGAAAACTTTCTACCCACAGACAGTTCCCCCATCACACTTTACCTCTCCAGTTTTTCCATGGATACTAGGCTGTGTGCCATTCTCCATCAAGAAGAGAGGCCTGAGGCCACCAAAGCCATTTTCTATTTTTCTTACCTGACAGTCTGCTTTCCCCACCTTGCTTACAAATGACTAATCTTGAGATAGGAGAACGATGCTTTAAGTAAAATAAGAAAAAGTCGTACTTAATTAAATGGATTTTGGGCTCAGCTAGATTATTCTCTGGAGGTCATAATGGGATTTCATGGCTCCAAACTGAGTACCCTATTATAAAGACCAAAACTAGAGCTATCAGGATTCTGAACACTTGGAGGTTCCATCTCTTAAATTTAAAAATATATCCACATTGTGTCAATCATGGGCCAGTTATATTTCTCATACATTTTTAACATGTTGATCTTGTGTGCCATTCTTAACTATACATAGCATAGGCATTTAAATTAAATATAAAGTTATCCTCAGGAGATGGCCAAAGTGAAAAAACAAGAAAAGTAATTGAAGTAGATTAGGAGAGAATTTGATAAATATTCCTCAAACTAAAACTGATTACTAAGTAGCATGGCCCTGTCAGAGAGGGCTGTTGTCTTGGGAATTCTTCATGAGGCTTGAAACTTCTTCAACAATTGATATATACAGATTTCTTTACTCTGCACTCAAATAAATGTAGTTTTCTATCTGGGTAATATGTTACATATGTTCATTGTGTTAAAACATAGACAATTTTGAAAAGTGGAAGACAAAAAAGAAAAAAAATCCATATTTTGAAATGTATAAAAATTTGTCAATATTTTGAAAAGTAGGAAAAGGAAAAAATTACCATATTCCTACTACCACCCACTTTAAATCTTTTGTTTCCTTCCTTCCTTCTTTCTTTTTTTCTTTTCTTTTCTATTCTTTTCTTTCTTTTTTTTCTTTTTTCTTTTTTTTTTGAGACAGAGTCTCACTCTGTTGCCCAGGCTGGAGTGCAGTGGCACAATCTCGGCTCACTACAACCTCTGCCTCCTGGGTTCAAGCAATTCTCCTCCATGCACCCTCCACCATGCCCAGCTAATTTTTTGTATTTTTAGTAGAGACAGGATTTTGCCATGTTGGCCAGGCTAGTCTTGAACTCCTGACCTCAGGTGATCTACCTGCCTTGGCCTCCCAAAGTGCTGGGATTACAGGCATAAGCCACCGCCCCTGGCGTTTTGTATTATTTCTTTCCAATCTTTTGTTCTATGCATATTTTATATATTTGAGATCATTCTCTCTCTCTCTCTCTCTCTCTCTCTCTCTCTCTCTCTCTATATATATATATATATATATATATATATATATATATATATATATAGTTGCCTAATTACTTTTTCAGTTTGCTTTATAACGTGATTCCATAGTATCAGATTATTGTTAAAGCTGAATAGTTTCCTATCACATAGATACAAACTTTCTCCTATTGCTGGAAGTTAAAAAGATGCTTCATTTAGGCTACTTTCACTTAAACTACTTGAAGAATCTGGTATTATGGTTGATGAAATAAGATATGATGAAAGAAAGAACAACTTCCAGAAATCCTGTCTCTATTTCATGGAGGTAAGAGGCAAACCTGACAACAGCTATTATTTAGAGACACCTATTTTATTCCTGGCATTCTACTAAAAGCTTTACCTACTTAATCTCTTAAACCTTACAAAAAAACCTAGAAAGTGGAGTCATTCCCAATTTACAGATGGAGAAAGTGAGGCTCACAGAAAGTAAACTAAGTAACACAGTTGTGTAAATAGCAGGGAGAAATTTTAAGCACAGGTCAAAATGATTCCAAAGCTTCTAAATAGTTCCCAATATGGAATAGTTATCAAGGTAGGACTTTGCATCTGGTTAAAGCAATTGAGAAAAAAAAAAAAAAAAAGCAAAACTGTTGTGGGTAATTTGGTGCTGATTAAATTGGGCAAATTATTTACATTAAAATAATAGATAATTTGGTACCTTGAAGACAGTAAAACTGATTTGGATCTTTACCTTTCTGGGGCAGGTTTATGATTCAAATGTCTTCAAGGTACGGTTTTCCTTATTATGTAAAAACATAACATCTGGGAATGTTTAAGTAGACAATAGATCCAGAAGGGCAAGCAACTAACTTTCAATATATTTTCAATATTCTAGGAGTTTGAAAAACATTAATTCACTAATTCTACACACGGCAAAGCAATGATAATTAAGCCTATTTTACAGATGAGAAGACAGTCTGCAATGTTAATTTAGTTCATATCTCCTATAACGCAGGATTTTTACCACCTTGAGGTTATTAATCCAACTCCTACTCAAACAGCACTTAGGATAATTATTTCGAGGTACGCTCCTTTTCTTCCAACAAGAATGAAACAAGCTTGAAGCCAGAGAATGGATCTTAAAACTAGAGAATAAAATCCAAATCATTAAGTTCCAATCAACCTCATTACACTGGTCCCGTATTTTACAGATGAAGAATATGAAAAAAGAGGGCAGGTGACACAGTCAAAGACACACAGTTTTTTAAGTCTCACAACTAGACATTCATATCTGTGGCTTAAATCTTCACTGCCATTTCCTGTTATATACCACTGATTTGTGATTTCCTATGCTACCCACGATGTCTCGATCTGTGCAAACACTCAATATATGTTTGTGAAATTAAATTGGCTAATTTCCCTAGATATTATGTTATCATCTATGCCAATATCATGCCATAACCCAAAATGCTCAATCAGCATTTATATCTTCTAGAACCTGCTGTCTCTCTCTTGCCTGGCATTAATAAGTTGGCAAAGTTTTTTGTTTTGTTTTTTAGAAAGTAGAAGAATTAAAAACAAAAGGTACTATCTTGGGTGCTTTTAAATTTTTCCTGGGTAAGTAGGTAATGCTTTGAAGCTACAAACATTGAATGCCTAATGTCACATTGTCGCTCAATATCAACAGCCACTGCTTTCTGAATGACGGTGATAATTGGGTGCATGTAACTAGAAGACATTGCAATAAATAGATTTATTTTCGTTTGAAGCTTGAAAACCACCATCTGCGATGGGGTTTAGAAACAATGTATGGAAACAGAAAGTATACTGGACAACCAAAGAAAATCATTTAGCATGAATGGTTGAAAATAGTCCATTTTCTTTCCTCCCTCCCTCCCTCCCTCCCTCCTTCCTTCCTTCCTTCCTCTTCCCTCCCTCCCTTGCTTGCTCTTTCTTTCTTTCCTTCCTTCCTTCCTTCCTTCTTACCTTCTTTCTTTCTCTCTCTCTCTCTCTTTTCTTTTTTTTTTTTTTTTTTACAGGGTCTCATTCTATTGCCTAGGCCCAGGCTGGAGTGCAGTGGCATGATCTCTGCTCACTGCAGCATCGACCTCCCAGGCTCAAGCAATCCTCTTGCCTCAGCCTCTTGAATAGCTGGGACTAGAGGCATGTGCCACCACTCATGCCTAATTTTTTATTATTTGTAGAGATGGGGTTTCACCATCTTGCCCAGGCAACTCCTGAACTCACATGATCTCGCCCATCTTGGTCTCCCAAAGTGTGGGGATTATAGGCATGTGCCACTGTACCTGGCTGAAAATAGTTTTCTATGTCAGTCTGTGCATCATCTAAATATGCAGAAGTCCACTTTTATGACTTTTTAATTTCTCCTGCAAGCTTTTCTGCAAGTACTCATTGTCCAGTAGGTATTTTATTTTTAAAATATTGATTTGCTTAGTGTCCATTTCGGCACCTTGCTTTATTGTGCACCATTTTATTGCCTTAGCAGATACTGTATTTTTTACAAATTGAAGGTTTGTGGAAACCCTGTGTTGAGCAATTCTATCAGTGCCATTTTTTCAACAGTATGTGGTCACTTCGTGTCTGTGTCCCATTTTGGTAGTAATACTTGCAATATTTCAAAGTTTTTCATTATTGTTATATCTGTTATGGTGATCTGTAATCAGTGATCTTTGAAGTTACTATTGTAATTGTTGTAGGGCACCACAAACTGCACCCATATAAAATCAACAACTTAATGGATAGATGTTGAGTGTGTTTTGGCTGCTCCACCAACTGGTCATTCCCCAATCTCTCTCCTTCTCTTCAGGCTTCTCCATTTCCCAAGATACAACAATACTGAAATTAGGCCAATTAATAACCCTAGCAATGGCCTCTAGGTGTTCAAGTGAAAGGAAGAGTCATATATCTCTCACTTTAAGTCAAAAACTAGAAATGGTTAAGCTTAGTGAGGAAGGTATGTCAAAAACTGAGAGAAGTACAGCTTATTAGCCAGGCTTAATGAGTGGCTCATGCCTATAATCCTAGCAATTTGGGAGCTTGAGCTCGAACTGGAGGCCAGTGGATCACTTGAGCTCAGGAGTTTGAGACCAGTCTGGGCAAAATGGCAAGACCGTTTCTACAAAAGAATACAAAAATTAGCCAAGTATGGTGACATGCACCTGTGGTCTCAGCTACACAGGAGTCTGAGGTGGGAGGATCACTTGAGCCTGGAAGGTGGAGGTTGCAGTGACTCGAGATCGCGCCACTGCACTTAGGCTGGGTGTTGAAGTGAGATCCAGTCTCAAAAAACAAACAAACAAACAAAAAAAGCTGAGATAGGTATCTTGTACTAAACAGCCAAGTTATACATGCAAAAGAAAGGCTCTTAAAGAAAATTAAAAGTGCTACTCCAGTGAACACGTGAATAAGGAAGTGAAACAGCCTTATTGCTGAGATGGAGAAAGTTTTGAGGGGTCTGGATAAAATATCAAACCAGCTGAGCCATTCCCTTAATCCAAAGCATAATCCAGAGCAAGGCCCTGAACTCTTCAATTTCATGAAGGCTGAAAGAGGTGAAGAAGCTGCAGAAGAAAAGTTGGAAGCTAGCAGAAGTTGGTTCCTGAGGTTTAAGGAAAGAAGCATCTCCATAACATAAAAGTGCAAGCATCTCCACAACAAAAGAAGCATCTCCATAACAGAAAAGTGCAAGATGAAGGAGCAAGTTATCCAGAAGATCTAGCTAAGATCATTGATGAAAGTGGCTACACTAAACCACAGATTTTCATTGAAGATAAAACAGCCTTCTATAGGAAGAAGATGCCATGACATCTAGGACTTTCATAGCTAGACAGGAGAAGTCAATGCTTGGCTTTAAAGCTCCAAAAAACAGCTTACTCTTTTGTTTGAGGCTAACGTAGCTGGAGACTTTAAGTTGAAACCAATACTCATTTAGTATTCTGAAAATTCTAGGCCTCTTCAGAATTATGCTAAATCTACTCTGCCTGTGCTCTAGAAATATAACAACAAAGCCTGGATGACAGTACATCTGTTTATGGTATAATTTACTGAATATTTTAAGCCCACTGTTGGGACTTACTGCTCAGAAAAAAGATATCTTTCAAAAAAATTACTGCTCATTGACACACATAGTCATCCAAGAACTCTGATGGATATGTGCAAGGAGATGAAAATTATTTTCATGCCTATTAATATAACATCCATTCTGCAGCCCATCAATCAAGGAGTAATTTTGACTTTCAAATATTTAAGAAATACGATTCATAAGGATATGGATGCATAGAGAGTACTTCTGATGAATCTGTGCAAAGTGAATTGAAACCCTTCTGGAAAAAGATTCATCATTCTTCATGCCATTGAAAACACTGTGACTCAAGGGAGGAAGTCAAAATATCAACATTAATAGGAGTTTGGAAGAAGTTGATTCCAGCCTTCATGGATGACTTTGAAAAGGGGTTCAAGATTTCAGTGGAGGAAGAAACTGCAGATGTGGTGGAACTAGCAAGAGAACTAGGATTAGAAGTGGAGCCTGAAGATGTGACTGAATTTCTGTAACCTCATGATAAAACTAACAGATAAGGAGTTGCTTAGTTGCTTCTTATAGATGATCAAATAAAGTTCAGAATCAAAATTCTTGAGGTGAAATATACTCCTGGTGAAGATGCTGTGAACATTGTTGAAATGATAGCAGAGGATTTAGAATATTACATAAACTTGATTGATGAAGCAGTAGCAGGGTTTGAGAGGATCTCTCCAATTTTGAAAGAAGTTCTGCGGATAAAATGCTATCAAACAGCATCACATGTATAGAAAAATCTTTCACAAAACGAAGAGTCAATTGATGCAGCAAACTTCATTGTTGTCTTATTTGAAGAAATTACTGCAGCCACCCCAATCTTCAGCAATTACTACCCTGATCAATCAGCAGCTATCAATATCAAAGCATGACTCTCCACCAGCAAAGAAGATCACGACTCCTCTTACTGAAGGTTCTGATGAACATTCACGGTTTTTAGCAACAAAGTATTTTCTAATTAAGGTATTCACACTGTCTTTTAAAGACATAATACTTTTGCACACTTAATGGACTACAGTATAGTATAAAGATAACATTTACATGCACTGGGAGCCAAAAAATTCATGACTCTCTTTACTGAGACATGAACTTCGTTGTGGCCTGGCACTGAACCCACAATACCTCTAAGGTATGCCTGTATATGTCCAACAGTGTACCAATATAGATGCTATTAATGGCTACCATTAATCAGGGCTTACTATGTGCCAGGCACTGTATGCTGTCTTTTCAAGTCTTAATTTTAATTTAATCATCAACACAATCCTATTAATGCTATTATTATCTCTAACTTATAAAAGTGGAGATGGAAGTTTATCAAAATTAGCTTGCCCAAGATCATATAGCTAGTAATAAATAATAAAAGCTAATATGTTTTGAGTTATTTCTATGTGCTTGACATTGCTTGACACTGTTCATTAGATCCTGTTAACAACCCTATGAGGTAAGTACATTATTATGCACATTTAACAGATGAAGACACTGAACCGTGGAAAACCAGGGTTTAAAAGCCCGTCAGTGGTAGAGTGAGGCTTCAAACCCAGGCAGCCTAACTCTAGAATATAGGCTCTTGAAAACTATGCTGTGTTACTTTCTCAAAATGGTGGTGCTGGAGTTTAGAGATAGCTCTATCTGAGCAAAGTTTCCACCCTAACAACCGTGGAACATGACTGGATTCTGGGTAAAATTCTGTGAATAAAATATCATTATGGTTTTCTTCAATAAGCTAATCCCTCACAATAGCATTAAAAAAATGAAATGGGCATAAATCTAACAAAAACGATGCAAATTTTTATGCTGTTACCATTAAAAAAACCAGTGAGAGAATTCAGAAAAGACCTAAATAAATGGAAAGATAAACTGTATTAGTGGACTGGAAAACTCAATATATTAACATATCAATTATCCTCAAATTGATCTATAGTTTCAACACAATCCCAGTCAAAATTCTAGTAGATATTTAAAAAAATAAATTGTCCGGCTAATTATAAAATGTATATAAAAATGTAAATATCTAATATGGCCAAATCAATGTTGAAACAGAAGAACAAAATTGTAGGAGTTAGAGTATTTGATTTCATGACTTACCATAAAACTACAGTGGTCAAAGCAGTGCAAAGAGTGTGGCATTGCCATATAAATAGACAAATACATAAATGGAACAGAACAGTGTCCAAAATAGACCTGCACGTATAGAATCAATTGATTTTTTTTACCAAGTACAATGGCAATTTAATGGAGAGAGAATAGTTTTTTCAAATAGCACTGGAACAATTAGATGCCCATTTGCAAAGGAAAAAACATGACAAACTCACACAATATACAAAAATTAATTAAAAGAGATCACAGACATAAACTAAAAATCTAAGATTATAAAACTTCTAGAAAGAAACATAGGAAAAAAAGTCTTGGTAATCTTGGATTAGGCAAAAAGGTTTTTATAGGACACAAAAAGCATGAACTATAAAATAAAAAAATTGATACACTGAATTTCACTAAAATTAAAATCTTCGGCTTTTCAAAAGAAACTATTAAGAATATTAAATGGCAAACTACAGCCTGGTAGAAAATGTTTATTTGCAAAACACACATTTGTTAAAGGACTCGTAAGAAGAATACATAAAAACTTCCTAAAACTCAATAAGACAACACAATTTTTAAAATGAGGAAACAATTAAATATGTACTTCATCAGAAAAAGATGAGAATACCAAATAAGCCCATGAAAAGATACTCGGTATCATTCATCATTATGGAAATAAAAATGAAGACATAATTAAATACCACTGCATACCTATTATGATTAAATATTAAAAAAAAAACAAATGAGAATATCAAGTGATGAAGAACATCTGGAGCAAGTGGAACTCTCAAATACTATTGGTGGAAAGTAAATGTTACAATCCCTTGGGAAAACAGTTTAGCAGTTTCTTATCAAACTAAATATATGCTTACCCAATAATCCAGCAATTCCATTCTTAGATATTTATCCAGGGGAAATGAAAGCATAAGTCCACACAAAGACTTGTACATAAATAACATTAATATTTATAGTAGCTGTATTAATAATTTCCCCAAACTGGAAACAATGCAAGTGTCTATAGCCTGAGGAATGGGTAAAAAAACACTGGGTGCATTCACATGATGGGATACCACCCAGCAATAAACAGGATTGTATGAGTGATACTTGCAGCAACAACATGAATAACCTTAAAATCATTATGCTAAGTGAAAGAAGCCAGACACAAAAGGCTACATGCTGTGTGATGACATTTATATGACATTCTACAAAAGGCAAAACTGTACAGATAGAAATC
This sequence comes from Homo sapiens, assembly GCF_000001405.40. Lineage (NCBI taxonomy): Eukaryota > Metazoa > Chordata > Mammalia > Primates > Hominidae > Homo > Homo sapiens. The sequence continues at coordinate 57,788,496 of NC_000001.11, forward strand.
AAATTAGTGGTTTCCAGGAACTGGAGGTCAGGGAGAGCACTAACCACAAAGAAGTATGAGGGAACCAACTTTTGTGGTGACAAAAGTTATTCTATGTATTTCCCACCCATGCTTAAGAGAGAGAGTCTCTTTACTCAGGATGGACTCTAGAGTCAGGCAGACCCAGTTTGGACGCCAGCTCTGTTACTTCCTGTGAGGAACTTGGGACAACTCACTTTTCCTTTTCTGAGCCTGATTCTTCTAACTATGAAAAGAGGAGAAGTTTTACTTCATAGAGTACACATGTGTATGTTGTAAATATGTGTAAATGGTTGTTGATTGAGACTCTATCTTGCTTCAAAATTGGCAGCTGGAACTCAGTGTTGAGATAAAAGGGTTCATATCTAAGAGCTGCCACCAAAAATTGAGGTCAGACATTTCCCTTAGGACTTATTTCAAAGCAGCAAAACTGACTTTGCTGTCATCTCCATGACCCCACTTCTCAAGCATTACCAACTCCCCCCACCCTTCGCTTAAACAAACAAAACAAATCAAAACAAAAATCTTGGAGAAGAGGGCTGAGGAGGAAGATACTAGAGGCTTTGGAAGGATTGAGAGCTTAGTGCAGAGGCCTTTCTTTCACCTCCCTGAACCACAACCTGCCCCCAGGGAAAAGGAGAAAAGGTGCCAGGAAGATCCTCCCCCTTCACCCCCGCCCCTGCCGCCAAGCATGGGGTGCCTGCAAGGGAGAATGCCAGGTATTCTCTCTGAGATATCTATTTATGCAGCAGACCACTCAACTGGCTTCTTGGGCCCACGCGAGAAGAGGTAGAAGGGAATTGGGAGAGATGGTAGGAAACAGAGGGTATGGCCCCAAATCAGCCTGTCTTAGTCAGCTCAGGCTGATATAACAGAGTACCTCAGACTTACACAACAGAAATGGGTGGCTTGAACAACAGAAATCTATTTCCCACAGTTGTGGAGGCTAGAATTCCTAGATCAGGGTGCCAGCATGGTTGGGTTCTGGTGAGGACCCTCTTCATAGTTTGTAGTTGGCTGTCTTCCTCGTGTGTCCTCACATGGCAGGGAGCAGAGAAAAGGCAAGCAGGCTGTCTGGTGTCTCTTCTTAGAAGGGGACTAACCTATCACAAAGGCTTCACCCTTATGACCTAATTACCTCCTAAAGGCCCCATCTCCAAATACCATCACAACTGGGGCTTACAGTTTCAACACATACATTTTGGTGGGACACAAACATTCAATTAATAGCACAGCCTTCACGTACTCCTATGGGTTGATGTAGCAAGGATGAGTAATTATCTGTGGTTCAGAAGTCACAGAAGTCAGGTAGGTATGGGCTATCTTGATTGCTGACCAAGAAGATTTCTTGTCAGGAAAGGATTCTCAACAAGAAGTTTTGCTGTGACCTGCCAAGGTGTGGCAGAGGTCGAGCAGTGTAGAGTGTACCACACTGAGCCCTGTCAAGAACCTCACATATACACCTTCCCCGGTCAGCATTTGGATATATGGCTAACAGGAGGCACCAACGGACCATAAGAGGGAAAGCCATAGAAGCAGCAACCAGCCAAGAGAGTGGAACTATTTTCATGAGCTGATAAGAAAGTGGTAGTTGCCCCTCCTGCTCTGTTTCCTTTCTGATATGGTTTGGCTGTGTCCTCACCCAAATCTCATCTTGAATTGTAGTTCCCATAACCCCCACAGTGTCATGGGAGGGACCTAGCAGGAGGCAACTGAATCATGGGAGAAGTTACCTCCATGCTGTTCTCATGATAGCGAGGGAGTTCTCACGAGATTTGATGCTTTTACAAGGGGCTTTCCCCGTGCCTTTGCTCTGTACTTCTCCTTGTTGCTGCCATGTGAAGAAGGACATGTTTGCTTCCCCTTGCACCATGACTGTAAATTTCCTGAGGCTTCCCCAGCCCTGCAGAACTGTGAGTTAATTAAACCTCTTTCCTTTATAAATTACCCAGTCTCAAGTATTTCTTCATAGTAGCATGAAAAGGAACTAATACATCCTCCAACCCCCAATATCAGAGGAGATGAATGTGGGAAAGACAAGTAGAAGTATCCCAGAACCAGCCCAAAGCAACTTTCTCCCACCATCCCTAAGTCACAATTCTAGGCAGCACAGAGGAGGGGCAGGTATGACATCTGGTATCAGATGGGAGGTGTATATTGGATGAACTTTTAATAACAGAAAATGATTGAAAAGTTATAGATTCTGCCCAAGATATCTATCGCTAAAGAATGAGAAAAGGAGATTTTACCAGCATGTTGCAAACAGTGAATGGCGAATAACATCATGTTTATATATGTTTGAGTTTGGGTTCCTCAATAAACTGGTTTTACATGTATATAAAGCACCTGGTGCATTACTACACACACACTCACACTCACATGCATGTGTACTCATATGTGTGTGTGTATTTTAAACATGGTAGATAGCTATTAGGACTAATAAAATAATATTAGTGACAATAGTCATTGTAAAGGGAAATATGACATTTTTATACTATTTAGTCCTAATCTGCATTCATTTGCACTTGCCCACATTCAATAAATCCACATTGGCTTCATTATGTGTAGGATTCTGTGAAAAATACAGATTAATTAGGCAAATTTCTACCCTCTAGTAGCTTATAGTCTAATAGAGGAATTCAAACAGATAGAAAACTTACAAAGAAATATGACACAAAGTGTCTAGTACCAAGGAAGGATCCACCAGTTTTGAATTCCCACTATGCCCTAGGCCCCCCTGTGTTGGAACTTGACATATATTACTTTGTTTCTCACAACTGCTCTTTGAGATACATACTATGATCCTTTTACACACAGATCCTCCCTTTCCTTCTCTTTCCATTCCTACTTCTACTTTTACTAGCTACTATTATTTGAGCTCCTACCAGTTACTAGGCTTGACATGTTCATTATGAAAATATAAAAGGATATGACTATTTCACATATGGAGTGAAGTGAAAAGTGCATATTTATAATCAAACAGACTGGAGTTCAAATCCTAGGTCTGCTACTTACCGTGTGAACTTGGGCAGGTTATTTAACATCTCTAACCCTCATTCTTTGATGATAATAACCACCTTGCAGAGTAACATGAGAAATCAGTGAGACAAGCCATGTAAAGCACCTATCACAGTGCCCAGCAGGTAATTTCTTTTCAACAAAGACCAGTTCCCCACCTCCTGCATATCCAACAGCAAGACAGCTCATTGTGTGCCTGAGACCCGGGCTCCCCACACTCACCTTGTCCTCCCCACTGACAGTCCAGAGATGCTGAGATGTTATGCAATTTGGAATGTGCCTTTTCAGACACACCAGTTAATCACCCCAGGCTTGACCACCCTCTCAATCTCCGAGCACACTTACTTCTTAATCAACTTCTTCTTGTCTGGATTCACCTTTATTTCTTCCAAGTGCCGCTCTCTCTCCTCTAGAAGGGAATTTATGCTCTCTTCTAGCATTCATTTCCCAACCTCTTCTGTTAACAGTCACTAAGGCAAAGACTTAATTTTTTAAAGGAATGCCTTTTCCTTGTCTATAAATTACACTGAGTGAGTCTCTGAGGCCCTGACAACCCTTCCACTGAGGACTTGTTGAATGTGGACTTGAAAAACAGCTTATTTATCTCTCTCCTTACTGTTGTCTCCCTTGCTATTCTCATCTTGACATCCCCTTACCAATTTGGTTTTGTCTCTTAAAATCACTCTAATCTTACCAGGGTTTTGGATAGCTTGGACAATGTGCAGGTTCCTATTATCTTCAATGCCTTTTCCTTTTATTTCCCCTTGTTCTCATCAGACACATTTATTTATTTTTATGCCCACCATATTTATTGCCAGACAGCAGGCTGACATTCTAGGCATACGCCTCATTTTTGAGGACCTTCTCTATTTAGCTTTTCTATGATCTCTTCACAGCTCTTTTTCCACTGGGCAGATCCTAAGACTCTATGTGCTAAAGTTTTCTATTTTTAGATTCCAAAAGCAGTGAAAGTAAAGTTAGGATGTCTTTTTCCAGAAGCTACCAAGGAGCAACTGGTCATTGGTCAATTTTATCAGCTCACAGTTTATTTCTTCCTCCCAGCTGAGGTGTCGCCTTTGTTTTAAGCTTTCTTAGAAATCCTGGGCTTAGGTAGCAATTTTTCTCTCTATTCTCCTGAAACCTTATTAATGTTCTCACTGTAACTCCTCTCGTATCATGTTGGAATTTTGAAATGTATCTTTCTCCTCTAATATATCAATAATTGTTTAGAGAGCTTGGTTTCCTTTTATTTATGTACCCCATAGGGCCTTGCATGTAACAGGAGCTCAATACATATTTTTAAGCATTGATTTCTTTGAAAATAACACCTTACCAACTGATTAGAATTATAGTTCTGAAATGTATTTGAACCATTAACCCTGTGATCTTCAATTTCATCATTTGTAAAATGGGTATGAATCACATTGTTACGCATGATTTTAAATATCACAAAGCTAATCTTTTCCTTTGATAGACGAAGAAGCTAAGGCTCCAAGTGGGGAAAAGTCTTATCTAAAGTGGGCTTTTAGGCCCATAATCTGAGCTTAGTGGTACTTAATAGAAATTTGCTGGTGAATTCATTAAGCAATTTTAGTAATCCAAACACAATATCTAGGCTAGAGCCCCAAGGTACAGAACAGAGTGCATAGCCTCTAGTAGGCAGAGAAAATAAACGAACAGGGCATTTTTCCTAGTTGGGGAATCCTGGAAGAGTTTTCTCTATTACCTTGTAAATCAGTTCCTTTAACTTGGATACTGGAAATAAAAGACTAGAAATGACTGTTACCTCAGATGGATGGCTGGGGATTAAAGAGATAATTTTTTCATAAGGCATTGTGTTTCTCAGAGGAAGGTGCCATAGGAATGTTGATCCTGATAACATTTTGCATGGAAGTACCTAGAAAGTCATGAAGAAGAGACAGTGGCCCTTGAGTGGCAAAGTCAACAGATACAGTGGGCCATGATTTACAGTATTCCTCTCTGCTGCTGGTACTGAGGAACTTCCAGGGAGTCCCAGCTCATCCTTTGGCCAATACTGACCAATGCTGGTCAGTGTTGCATGGCAAGTGTAGCATGCTGGTTGAGCTGTGTCAGACTTCAGAGTGAGACAGACCAGATTTTAAGTTCTGGTTTGTCTACTAACTCCCAGTGTATACTTGGGCAAGTTTCGCTATGCCTCAAAAACTCAGCTTCCATTTTTGTAAAACAAGGATAGTGAAACCTCCTTCTAGGGTTGTTGTGATGATTACATGAGATAATTGTTGTAAATCACTAGGCTTTTAGTAAGAGGACTCAACCTCACAAAGAGGCAGCCTTGGGGATCAGTTTTCTAGTCCTCAGTGTGTCTCATGACTAGCAGCCCATTTCTGAATCCACAGAGTGTTTGCCTAGTTGATGGGGCATAGCATTTGTCCTAGTGTCCTGATTACTTTGGAATGCCCTGCCAGGAGTGAGAGACAGCTTATATTTTGGCTGCTAGGCTGGGGTCCTGAGGCTCCTCATTGATCTTGCCCCATGGTGATGGATCCTCCTTGAACCATAAATCCTAACTGTGCCTCAGAATAATCCTGCTACCATGTTCCAAATGCAAGATTGGTTCCCTTGGACTGGCTGAATCCTAGTTTCTCCTACCCGTAGGGACCCAAGATTTGGGTTGCTGGTTGCTTCTATCACAATCCAACTTTTTGTCAACATCAGTGGAGAAGGAGGAGTGTCAGAACAGCCTAGGAAAATAGTAAACAAATTCTTGTCACCAACAGGGTAAAGTCCAAACTCCTCAGCACGAGGCTCAAGGCTTATCATAATTTGGTTTCTGTGTATCTCTCTAGCATTAGATCCTCCAACACATCCTTCAGTTTCTGTATTGCTTCTTGTTTTCTGACAGTACCATGTTCTTTCAGAGGTCTCTACTTTATTACATGTTCTTCTTTCTTCTTGGGATGTTCTACATTTTCAGCAGACAAAAATACAGCTTATCCTACAAGCCTCAGCCTTGGCACTCCCTCTTCTCTAAAGCCTTCTCTGATTCTTCTGGACAGACCCAGGCACTTCTTGCCACATGCCTCCATTGTACCTAAGCATACACTTATGTAACATGACACTATTTTATCATTCTAGTCTCCATGTGTGTTATTTCTCAAATTCCAGCCCCCTAGACTGTGAGGCCCAAGAAAATAGTGACCATACTTTATTTATTTATTACTATATCCCTAGCTCCTGGCACAATGTCTGGCTCCTTGCAGGTGTTCAAAAATATTTGTTGCTTTAATGAATGAAATTAGTTTTCCTAGCACTCTTCTCACCTAGACCTAATTTTCTCCCAGAATGACCCATGGCTATAGATATCTGACTTACGGCAAGAGTGCTCAAGCAGGAATCAAGATCTCAGGGGACTACAGACACTTGGCCTAATAGCGGTCCTCATGGGAAGATGGCACTGTTTGCTGGAGCATGTAGCACCAGGCTATAACCATCCATCCACCCAATCAGTTGAATCAAACTTAATGGTCAATGGAATGACCCATGTCATAGCCCGAACTCTCTCCCATCCATCAGAGTTACTGATTATGGTGGCAGTGTTAACATGTGCTTTAAAGAACATGAACATGAATAATACAGAATACCACTAACCAAAATGATTCCATGTTTATATAAGGTAGGAAATGCCACACATTTAATCTCCCTCTAGGAGTCATAAACCTAAGTTATCATCAAAGCATCTAAAAAAAATTGTTAGCAGAGACATCTATTTAATATGTTTAACTTCATGTTTTCTAAATTTATTTGAGCACTAGAACTCTTTTTCCTTTTTATACCTATTTACACCATAGGGAACTAGTATTCTGTAAAACATGGTTTGGGAAACACTGGATGAAGAAATTCCCTGGAGGACCAGGGAAGCATCTTTGACAGGAGTAGATTTCCAGACAAAGGAACATAGAAATGGAAATACAGGTAGAGGATAGATCAAGAAAGTTCTCAAGTACCAAAGAAGTGTAATTATTATACATTTTTCTACATCTTCATTTGTAGGATTCAGAGTATTGCAGAGTCCTATACAAACATTTCTGAATGACTTGTCTCTTTATGTATAGTCTGAATGACTTTTTATTTTACTTATACTCTTCAAAATATAACCATCCATGAATTATGCTTGGAGATATATATATATATATATATATATATATATATATATATATATATCATACACATGTATTTCAGCAACATGATATAGTGGGAGAAATACTAGTTTTAGATTTACAGGATAAATTTAAGTCCAATCCTTTCAATCACTTAAAACTATAATGCTGAAGAAATAATTAGCCCTCAGTTTTTTAGTCAGTATAGTGGGAAAAATAACTCATGTCCTGCCAAAGTCTCGAAAATATTGTAAGAATCAAATGTCATTAATGTACAAAGTGCTTTTAAAACTATAAGGAGCTATATAAAACAAGGTATCATATATATACATATATATGCACGCTGTGGTAAATTTAACTCACTCTAGAATTCATGTGTGCAGATAAAATGTAATTTATTTATTTTTCTCTAAGTCTAATCTGGGCTCCCTCTCAAACTCTCATATGACAGTTGGCAGGAAAAATAAAATCTAAGTGAAACTAAATGTTCAATTCACTTTAGTTTCATTCCAATTGCATAATTTAAGTCCCTTTAGGTGGTACTCAGTGTCTCTGATTTAAAAAATAATAATCCTGGCTGGGCGCGGTGGCTCACGCCTGTAATACAAGCACTTTGGGAGGCCGAGGCAGGCGGATCACAAGGTCAGAAGATCGAGACCATCCTGGCTAACATGGTGAAACCCCGTCTCTACTAAAAATACAAAAAATTAGCCAGGCATGGTGGCAGGCGCCTGTAGTCCCAACTACTCGGGAGGCTGAGGCAGGAGAACGGCATGAACCCGGGAGGTGGAGCTTCCAGCGAGCTGAGATCGTGCCGCTGCATTCCAGCCTGGGCGACAGAGCAAAACTCCGTCTCAATAATAACAATGATAATAATAATAATAATAATAATCATAATCATAATCCATTTATTGGATAGTCTCTCTCTTCCCCTGCACCTGCCTTAATATAGTGTCCAGATACACAAGGCAGAGGCTGTGGCTGACACCCACTGGAGAAAGCAAAGGGGAGCTGAGTCATTGGGTGTAGCAGCCTCTACCTGCTTTGGCCTCTGGAACCATCAGCCTTGACTGCTTGGTTCTGCTGTCCTCCTCTCCCTGTGGCTGGAATGAGTCATAGTCTGGTCCCTCCCTCAGCTTGGTCTGATCCTGGTCACCCTCCCTTCACTTTCTACTGGCTATAGATCCCCACATCTGCGTCATATCCTGCATCCGGTTCACTGACCAGTCATTTCTCCTGCAGCCTATTGTGATGTTCTCTGCCTGGGGAGGCTAGTGGTTTGAATGCTGGCTTCCCCTTCTGTGTCTCTCTGCTTCACAACATTATGCCCCACTCACTGCAGGTTCCTGTGGTGTAGTCACAAAAGTTTGCTCATTCTAGAGTCCTGAGGAATGAATGAAAATAAAAACACGGTGCCATCAATATATTTCCCATTATTTCTCCAATGTAGCTCCTGGCTTTGGCCTAAAGAAGGGAATATCAGAACACCTCTGCCACCTTGTTGCTCTTTTTCCTCTTTCCAAACAACTCTCTGGGTTAGAAAGGGACTTTCTTCTGAATTAGATCCTCCTACCACTAAGCTGCTCCCATGGCTTTCCTGTCATATGCTAAGAACTAGGTCCCTTAGGCTCAGCCCCAGACAGGGTAAAGGGGAGAATCAAGGCTTGGTAATTTATCTCTGAAGGCAATACTCCAGTTTACAAGCCTATTGTCTTGCTGTACGATCCTACTTTGCAAGTCAAGAGATTAATAATACTTCCCGTCTTTCTCTTCACGTTCTTCTATAACACATTTAATCTAATCTTGGCTAAAAGAGATAGATGTCTTAGCCACTTAGAACACTACTCTTACCTTTAGCTGGAAAACTCAAAGCATTTTTAGTGTTGCATAAAAGCAAACATGAGAAAATCTACAAATGCTAGAACATGTTGAAGTTCAGAGATCCCTGATTCTTCAGTGATAGTAATCATTCCTTACACGTATAAAAGAGGTTAATGCTTACAAGCTGTAGAAAGAAGACAGAAAGGAGTGCTTTGTTCAGTCAATAACCTACAATAACTATTTGTGTAGCCTTGGACTGGTTACTTATCCTATGTGGTTCTTAAATTTCTCATCTGAATTGGGAATAAGCCATACCTATAATATTGTTTGGGGTTTTCAGGAAGACTAAATGGGATTAATTTATATAGAAAACTGTACAAGCTATACAAATGTTACTTATTGCTGTATTAATTAGAGCCTCACAGAAGACTATGATAATTACCGTCATCGTTTATTATGTGCTTAGCATGTGCTAGTAGTGTGGTTAAAACCTTTATGGGGATTAGATCACTAAATCCTCACAACACCATGTGAGAGAGGTACTGTTATTAGTATTTCCATTTTGCAGATGAGAAAATCAGGGCATGAGGTGGCTAAATAGCAGGCCCAAGTCACTCAGCAATGAGTGACAGATTCAATATTCAAACCCAAATGGCTCGCCTTCATGTTTCAAGCTCTTTACCACTGATCGAGCTGCAGTGCTTTCCACTCTGAAAAAAGAGTGGAAGGCCAATGATGTAAGGTTGGTTATGCCAGAGACACAAAGCAGAGAGCTGCGGTGACTTGCTCAAAATAACACAGCAAATTAAGGGCAAACCTGAGTGGGGAATGAAGGTACGTAAGTTCTGGTCTATGGACAACTTTACACTGTATTGGCTGCCTGCTTTGACAGGGGTCAGGGAGCCAAAGACAGGCAGCCTGAGGCATTTTGTCTTCTATGCTTGCTGTGCCACTAAGATCTTCTCAGAAGTCTCAAGGTCCAGAGGAGAGAGATGCAAGCATTTCACACCTCCCCCAACTACGTGCTGATTCAGGTTGAATTAGTCTTGTTAAAGGAAGTTGGCCATTTCATGTCATGGAATATTACATTCATGTGGTCTCACCTCTCTGTGCTGGAAAACGAGGCAACTAATTCATTTTAGCAGCTTCTCCCTTTCTGCCTATAACATGTCCTCTGGTGATGATAATGCAGGGAGATGGGAAATGTTTTAATATGATAAGTCCTTCACTGTGGATTAGTATACATTCAAAGCAGCATTTCTTCCATGTCTGGGCTCACTTTCAAGGCTGTCTGTGTGGATTTTGCAATTGTAAATAAGGTATCTTGTGTTCCTTCTGTTATCATTGAGTTTGACAGAAAGGGGAAATTTAACTTTGGGGGAAGGTATTACATATGCCTATACACATTCATGCACATAATGGAAAGTTTATTTTTGTCAATTGAAGAAGCTCCTCTCAGAAGGTCACCAGCTGTCATGCAAGAAAATATTCAATAAGATAGTACAATGTAATGATTAAGAGGATGAGCTGCCTCATTCTTGATACCTGAATTCAAGTCCTGGCTCTGTTAAATACTAGCTGTGTGACCTTAGGCCAGTTACATAACCTCTCTGTGAATGCGTTTCTTCGGCTGCAAAATGGGTATACATTTTTATCAAATCTCTGTGAAGGTGAAATGAGATTCGATGAACGGAAAGCCTTTGGGATAATGGAGCAAGTTAGGGAGAGTAGTTATAGAGCAGCTAGGGAAGGGTTTCCTCAGTATCCTCAGCCCCACAGCTGTGAATGGGCTCCTTTGTACAGAAAAGCTGGGCTGCTGTTAGAACAGCCCCTTCCTTAAGCCTTCGGTGGCTTCCACTTCTTTCTATACTAGGTAAATTGATGAAGTCCATAAACTTTTGAAAAGAGTGGATGGAACTCGCTGGGAATGTGACATAAAAACCTGGGCAGACCCTGTTTGGGAATGACAAATGGAGAGGTTTGCCAGAGCCACGGTTTCAAAGTGTTTCCAGGCCAGACTGATTTGTTTTGATTTTAGGCAATATAGAGTCATTGAAGGTTTTGAGATGAGAAAAAAAAAAAAAAAAAAGATCTGGGGGGGGCTTTCAGGAAGATTAAACTGGCTGTAGAGGAGACAATGGATTAGAACCAGGGTCAACAAACTGCAGCTCACAGACCAAATCTGGCTCGCCATCTGTTTTTGTACAATATGCAAGCTAAGAATGGTTTTTACATTTTTGAGTGGTTAAAAATAATCAAAAGAATAATTTTTCGTGACACATGAAAATTATATGAAATTCAAATTTCAGAGTTCCTAAAGCAAACTTTATTGGAACACAGCCATATTCAGTTGTGTGCTTACTGTATGTAGCTGCTTTTGCTTCAAGGGCAGAAATGAGTAGTGACAACAGAAACCATGGGGCCCACAAAGCCTAAATATTTACTATCTGGCCCTTTGCAGAAAATGTTTGCAGACTCCTGGACTGGAGTCATTGAATAATGGACAGGAGCCAGATTAGGATGCTAATGCTAATATAAACACTACGATCAATTGTGCATTTACGATCTGCCATGTGTTTTATCTGTATAATTATGTTAATACTCAGGACAACTCTATAGCATCTAAGCAACTTGGCCAAGGTTACATGGGGAGGGCAAGGCAGAGGCATGATTTGAAATCCTACCAATGGACCATGGGATCTGTGACCTTGATCACTATGCATACTGCTTTCAACAGTCAAAATGAAACATGGTGGGGAATGGGAGAAAGGGAAGAATTCAAGAGATGTGCTGGAGACACAATCAGCAGGACCCAGGGGACTTTTGAATGAGAAGGATCAGAATGAAGCTAGAAAAGAAAAAAACCCAAAGTCTAGGTGCCTGGGACCAGTCAGAGCTTCACATTGCTTGCAAGTGTATCAGTATGAGCATTCTTAGTTAAAACTCAGTTTCACATGAACTCTTCAATGTTAATATTCTGCCATCACTCTTGATGTGGTAATTGTGCCACTTGGGCTCCCAAGCACTAAAATTAAATCTGGAAATTTGTCATACACCTTCCCCATGCGATGGTAACACAGAAGGTGGGAGCTCCAACAGTCAAAATGAATTACTCAGTGAGTTAATTTGTCACCAGAAGGTAATTGGGATTTAAGTTACAGTCTCGGGAAGAAATACATCACATCGCATGATTACTTGCATTAATGGCAACCTACATCTAATTTTCACCCCCACCCCAAATCCCTTTCATCAGTTCCAGTGACCTGTTAGCAGTATAATTTGGCTCTTTCCCTGCTGCCCACCTGAAATACCAAGCATCAGCTGAGATGAGTGCTACCCTTAAAGTAGGACAATGGATGTGACTGTCTTAGCTCTGAGCTGCTGGTATTAGGAATTTTAAAAATTTTATGGATTCATTCATTTATTCATCTATATACACAGGCATTTACTGAGAACTTATTCTATGCCAAGCTTGAAATTGGTGCTAAAATTCTAAAGAAGAATAAATCATATCCCTACCGATAAAGTGGTGATTCTAACATATGATTTTAAAAAGGATAAGGAGATCTCACACATTTAATCAAAACACAACATCAAGACATAGCATTTCTCTTCACCCTCTACTCATTCTTATTTGTGTCTGAATATGCTGTCATTTTCTGACAGATTAATTTATAAGAAAGAGCCATATGGACTGTAAGTAAAGGAGTGAGCAAGAAGACTGGCATCTATTCCTGGCTCTAATATGGATTTATTGAGAGACCTTGGACAAGTTACTTGTCTTATCTGGACCTTTGGTTTCTCAATTGTAAGATGACAGACTAGGTTATCCACGGGTATGTAAAGAAAATGAATGTGAAGATGCCAGGTTCAATTGGCGAGAGGCAGGGAGAGAGTTGGGAAACACAGAGCCTCTTCTTTTTCTCATGCTTTCCCCTTCACAAAGGAATCTTATGGAATACCATTCAGTGGCATGAAAAAATATAGAAGACTTATCTTTGGAATGTACTTTTGGAGAAGAAAATAAAATAAAATTATACTTGGTTATATCTTCCCTTTACCTATTACAGCCATGTGCTAAGCAAGACAAAGGAACTGTATCACCTAGATGTGAAAAGGTCCTTCCTCTTCCTCCTTAGCATGGGGAGCCCAGGGAATTTTTTTATTTTTTTTTATTTTTTTTTGAGACACGATCTTACTGTGTTGCCCAGGCTGGAGTGCAGTGGCACAATCACAGCTCACTGCAGCCTCGACTTCCTGGGTTCAGGCGATCCTCCGGCCTTAGTCCCCTGAGTAGCTCGGACTACAGGCACGTGCCACCACACCCAGCTAATTTTTGTATTTTTGATACAGATGGAGTTTCACCATGTTGCCCAGACTGGTCTCAAACTCCTGATCTCAAGCAATCCAACCGCCTTGGCTCCCCAAAGTGCTGGGATTATATGTGTGAACCACTGCACCGGGCAGAATATTATAAGAGTATTTCACACCAGTCACAGGTAGAGACTATTGGGGTGCACACCCTTTTGGCTAAGATCCAGATTGGAATAGGTTCCTTCAAGTGCCTTTGAACACACTGGGGAGATTAGGTTCCAACAGAAAGCAAGACATGGTGCAAAAAGAGCCAAAAAGCTAATGTTCGAACATTTATTCGGTCACACCCATTCCTAAGAAAGACCCTCCAACTTTGAGAACAACTTTCTCTGCTTCAATTCCAACAATGAGGACTGGTGGTAGGTGAGGCTGTTACTTACTTTGCTGTTGTCCTTTTGGTAGAAAGACCAATATAGTGATATCTCTGGTGCTAAAATAGGCCTTTTGATTACCCTGGCTGTTGGTCAGTTTGTTTTCTGTCACAGATTGAGTTCTCTGGAGGAAGATGCAGAGACACAATTGGGGTACCAGATTTTAAACAGAGATCAACACCTAAAGGGGAAGGAGTGGACAGAGGGAGAAGTTGAATTGGGAGGCAAACCCAACAAAGCCTGTCGAGCCTAGCGGAGAGCTCTGGAACGAATATTGTCTGTGATATGGTTTGGAATTGTGTCCCTGCCCAAATCCAGTGTCGAATCATAACCCCCATTGTTGGAGGTGGGGCCTGGTAGGAGGTGATTGGATTATGGGGTCAGACTTCCCCCTTGATGTTCTCATGAGAGTGAGTGAGTTCTCATGAGATCTGGTTGTTTAAAACTGTGTAGCACCTTCTCTCTCTTCCTCCTGCTCTGGCCAAGTAAGACACGCCCACTTCCCCTTCCGCCATGACTGAAAGTTTCCTGCAGCCTCCCCAGCCATGCTTCCTGTACAGCCTGCATAACTGTGAGCCAATTAAACCTCTTTTCTTTATAAATTGCCTAGTTTTTGGTATTTTTTAAATAGCAGTGTGAGAACAGATTAACAGTCTGTCATGGTTGTCCTGCATCTGGCCTAAATAGCCTGGCCTTTCTAGGTCTACTTGTTTGCCTCACTCAGTCACCAGAAGAGAGCTGACCAGGAAGAGCAGGACCCAGGCAAGGTGTGTCTCTGAAGCTGGGGCAGACCCTGAAGGAGCTGACACCTGGAGGCTATCTGCCTGCCGACCTCACTCCATGCAGCTTGGTAACTTGTCCTTCCTTGAAAGAATGTTTAAGCTGTCTACCACAAGCCCCAAAATGAAATTGATGGAAAAAATGGAGATTGAGGAGGGTTCAAAGAAGGAAAAATTTACAAGGATGCCACATCGTTACTTGCAAATTGTAGTGAACTGTACTCATTGATCTCCAGGGCAAAGGAAAGTTGCCATAACCTAGAGTGGACTACAGCAGTGGCTGTAACTACAGGAAGCTACCCTGCAGGGGATGTGACACAGCAACTATCAACCCATAACCTGTTAAAGGGGGAGTTAAGAACATAGAGTTTCTGACCTCTTTCTCCTACGTTCCTTTCCTCTGCTGATGCCTACCATTGGGGAACCCATACAGAAGCCAGAGGAAAACAACCTGAGTTGATGCAGTCTTCCTGCCACAGAGCAGGAGGGAAGAGTACATTGCATATGTGGAGGGACAAACAACAAATACCCAGCAATCTGGTGCCAGATCTAAGATTTAAATGGTTGTTAGATGATCTGGGAAAATCCAGGTCACAGAACTAGGGTCTGACCAACATTAAGAGCCCACGATGAAATCCTGTGACTCCGTCAATGTCAGTTTTAGTGCATTAGACTTGTTCTCTGGATCTAGAACTAGACCTTGAAAAAAGCTACAGGAAGAAAGTCTTTATGAAGCTCTCACTTGGCATGGCTCTGTTTTCTCTTGAGATAAGCTACTCTAACTATGTGTCACTGATTTTTGGGACCATATGCCGGAGACTTCCTTGCTTTTTCCTAGCTCAGTGTTTTTCAAACTGTGTATTATAACTCATCAATTTAATTGTGATGGTTACCTCTTTTTTACAACAAATGGAACAGAACAGATTATATCAGAATGTGCTGCATGTAAAAAAGGTGATTGTTGTTCTATGTTTCAGCTGCAAATATATGAGCTGAGTCAAAATGTAAAATATGTGTCTCCTATGGGTTCTAATAAAAATTCCGGTTACTGGCATCGTGATATGGTTTGGAATTGTGAGTTTGAGGTCATAGAACATAACTATCAAAAATATGTATTACAGACATTCCCCCTTCCATTTCTACAATGGATCAAAATGGGGGCACAGGGCTGAAAATCAGGGTTAGTGTGAGATTCACGGTTGGGAGGTGGCTAAAGCTGGTATGGAACTTAACCGTTTTCTTAGGATCACAACATATTAAAATTGTCCAGAAGATTATCTCAAACTTCCTTCTTTTCTTCTTTGATCCTTCTTACCACCAATCACTTCTGGGAACCACAAGGGGTGACTTGAAGGACTCCCTTTGGAGCTCAGCAAATGGCTCAGTGGTCTGGATGGAGCTCTGGCCCCCTGCAAAGGGGAAATTAGATCCACAGAGAAGCACACTGGGTTGAGCCTGGGGTTCAATACTTCCTGAACTTCTACCCATTACCATTTGCAGATACGTGATTTCCCTCTCCAAAACAGATGTGTAAGAGTTCACAGAACTGCTTGCCAGTCTCTTCCTCCTAAGCTGCACCCTTATGTCTGGCTCCACTATTATAACTATATTAACAATTCAGCAGGTTTTGGTGCATAGGTTAGAAATGCGTGCATTTAATTGCTTTGGATGATTAAGAGTTAACACTGCTGACCTACCCAGAGGGAAATTGCAAGGAATATCCAATTAGAGGCAACCAGACTCTTTGAAAATATCCAGTGTACTGGTAGTGCTTAATAATCATCATGATAATCATAACAATTCTAAATATATATTTTTAAAGCTATGAGCCATTTCTCACCCGAGGAAACTTTATTTGCTAGAAAGCAGATCCCTGCAATTATTCAAATTGGAGATTTGTATTTTTTGTTGTTGTTGTTCCCCACAGCCTCTCGGGTGGAGGAAGGACAGAGAAAGCTATCCCAGAGGGGAACAGAATCAATCCAAGCTGCTCATTAAAAGGTAAACTGTCAATAATCTTTGTCAGGCCTTTTTATCTTGGGCTTTAGTACATGATGATCCCTAAGGCAGCATGTGGTATTGAGATTTAGAATGGCTCCTGGTTTGCACATCCCCACTGGTGCAGGATTAACCCTCTACATGCTGCTACGGACTTTCTCAGAACCACTTCTGAACTCTGGATGGGCAAGGATTAAGAAGCTATTATATCTGTCCGCAAGAGGCATGGACTTTCCTTAAGAAATATATAAGTATTTCAAGGTGCTTGGAAATGAAGCCCAGCCATTAGGAGAGATCAACAAGGGGCAGAAATTCATAGGATATTCACCAAGGTTTCACTAATTTAAAATTTAGCCCATATAATGAGCATTTATTGAGAGACCTTTATATGAATCCCTCACATTTGGATACTGCTTTGCAGTTTTCTGTGCTTTTCCCCAGGTTATTTTCACTTGATTCTTACTTAATGCTGTGAGGGAGGAGTATAAACTTTTATTTTGCATAGAATAACTCAGAGAAGGTAACTTACTGTTATAGATACCTCTGTGTTGTATGTCTTCAAATATCATTAACGTATTGATGACTTCCAAATTTATATCCCTAGTCTGGACTGTTTCTGGAAATATAGACTTGCACATCTAGGTGTCCTGACATCACCATTTGGATATCCAATAGGCATCTCACACTTAACATGCCCATGACTGAGTTCTTCATATATTTCCTTAAACCTGGAGCTTATGGCAACTCCACCTTTCCATTGCTCAGGTACTGAACCCTGAAATCCTCCTTTATGCTTAGTCCCTCATCTGATTCATCAACTAATCCTTACACCCAGAATCTGACCATTTCTCACCAACTCTGCTGTTGTTACTCTGGTTCAACCATCATTATTTCTCCTCTAAATTACTGAGGCACCTTCTCACTATGTTCCTCCATTTTCCCTTAACCTCTTTCAGTCTACTCTTAACAAATTAGGTAATGCAATCTTGGAAAAATAGAAGACAAGTGATGTCATTCCTGTGCCTCAATACTCCAACGGCTTCCCATTTCACACATTTCACAGAGGAAAAGCTGCCATTCTTCCTATAACCCATTCTGGGCCCCGTTATCTCTGTGAACTTGTCTCCATGTACTCTTTCCTTTGTTCACTCTACTTAGTCATGTGGCCTCCTTTCAGCTTTATCTGCCTGATCTATTCTTGCTTTGGGGCCTGTTATGAGTTGAACTGTGTCCCTCCAAAATTATAAATTGGAGCCCTAACCCCTAGTACCTAGAATGTGATCATATTTGGGGATAGGGCCATTACAGAGGTAATCAAGTTAAAATGAGGTCATTAGGATAGAACCTCATCCAATGAGACTGACGTCCTTGTGAAAAGGGGGCATCTGGACACAGTGACATGCACACAAGGAAGCATGCTCTGTGAAGATGAAGGCAGGGATCGGGGTGATTTGTCTTCAAACCAAGGCAACGACTGGCCACAAACCCCAGAAGCTAGGGGGAAGGCCTGGAAGAGATTCTCTCCTCACTGCCCTCAAAAGAAACCAACCCTATTGACACTTTGATCTCAAACTTCTAGCCTCCAGACCTGTGAGACATTTCTGTTGTTTAAGCTGCCTGGTTTGTGGTACTTTGTTATGGCATCCCTAGAAAACGAATATAAAACCTTTTTGCTCGTTCTTCCATCTACCTGGAATAGTCTTCCCCCAGTCGCCACATAGCATATTTCCTTAACTCCTTTACCTCTTTATTCAGTAAACCATTCTTTGGGTACTTTACCAAAAATTAACACATTCCCTAATACGTCCCACTTCCCTTCTCTCCATTGTTTTTATTCTTTAAAACATGTTTTATATACTTATCATATTTACTTTCTGTTTCCCCCACTAAAATGTAAGCTCCAAGAGGACAGGGATTTTGTTTGTTTTGTCTGTTGCTGAATTCTTAGCACACCTGCATGTAGTAGTCACTCAGCAAATGTTTGTTGAATGAGTAAATGAATGAATGAACCTATGTGTGCTCTCCCCGACTGGCATGATCATAGTCAAGGCTCTCAGTGCTCCCCAGACTATAGCACTAGCTCCTAACTGGCCTTTCTGCAACTGGCTCCACCTTCTCCAGTCCATTCTCCATGTTTACACTTCTGTAGTGGACTGTCTGAAAAATCACAGCTACTAACAATTCCTTCCATCTCTGTATACTTACTTGTATACTTACTCTGCCCCTGTAGACCTTATTTCCCTTTACCTCAGATCTGGGAGGGCCCTATAACTTGGTTTGATCAATTGAATAGGGCAGATACAATTGGCAATTGTATCTCCAAGTAAAAGTTTCATACTCAAGAGCAGAAAAGTCACAGTGACGCCCTGTGACTATGCAGCCTAGGCCAGTATCACTTGGAGCAGAGACAACTTTCCCCCAGGCCCCTGACCAAATTAAAGTAGTGTGAGCAATTAAATCATTTTCTTCTTGTTTTATGTCATCAAGATTTTGGTTAACCTGTTTCGCAGCAATAGATAATTAAAACTTCTTCAGCTTCATCCCAAATACTGCCTCATCATATCCTGTCTTCTATGCTGAATTATTGTAGTCCTACAAATGCATAATTGACCTTTGAACCACATAAATTCAAATTGTGTGGATCCACTTATACCTACAATTTATATTAAAAATTTTTTTTCAATAAAAGTTACACTGAGTGTGCCCGCCTCTCCCACCTTGCCTTTAACGTCCTTCATCTCTTCTTCCTCAAACACCCCTGAGACAGCAAAACCAACCCTCTTTTTTCTCCTCCTCCCTCAGCCTATTCAACATGAAGATGATTAGGATGCAGATCTTTATAATAATCCATTTCCACTTAACAGTCAATATATTTTCTCTTCCTTATGATTTTCTTAATAACATTTTCTTTTCTCTAGCTTTATCGTAAAAATGCAGTATGTAATACATATAACACTCAAAAGATGTGTTTGTTATTAGACTGTTCATAAGCGATGCTTCTGGTCAAAAGTGGCTATTAGTAAAGTTTTGGGGGAGTCAAAAGATATATGTTGTTTTTCAACTATGTGGTGACCAGTGCCCCTATTTCCTGCATTGCTCAAGGGTCAACTGTATTATATTCTCCCTCTCTCTCTCTGACTCTCCCTTTCTCTTTCTTTTTCTCTCTCACACACACATGCACATGCACACACACACACACACACACACACATACCCCTGAGCCTTTTCACATGCTGTTTTCTCTCCTTAGAAAAAACTCCTCTAGTTTTCTCTGGTTAACTGTAACTATTCTTTGAATCTTAGCCCTAGTCCACCCTCTGTGCTCTCAGAGTCCCTGAGCTTGTCAGAGCACTCGGTACCCTGTATTCTAGTCAACCCTCAACTGATAGCTTCCTCCACCAGAGAGAAAGCGTAGTGAGGGTAGGAAAAGCATCTAATTCACCCAGTTGGCCACATTACTTAGCTCTGTGCTTGGCACATGGTAAGCATTCAGAAAATGGCTTTGAAATAATGAATTGTACTGTAACCAGAATTTACTTAGGGTAGAATGGTAAGATTAAAATGTATGAAACAATTACAGAACAAAGCAAAACAGTGTAAAACTAAGTACCAAATGTTCACAACTTTAGGAATACTCTTATTTTGATAATTGGTCCATGCTATATTAGGTTCTTCATATTAGTATTAATTAGAATAATAATGATCCATTATAATGAAAACTTTAGTTTTCAAAATGCTTTCACATGCGTTATCTCATTTGATTCTACTCCAATTATTTAGGGACAAAGAAGTCATAGAATCACTTATGCCTCATCATATAACATGAGCAGGTTTTCATGTCATTTATCCTTTGCTGAACTCGGCTGCTTGTGAACTAGATTGCAACTCTGTGTGAGCTTTAGGAGAAGGTGTAACCTTCCTATTTTCCAGTGAACATAATGGAACATAGTGTTCTCAAGGACAGACGCTGCTTCACAGACTTTGGGGGCTAAATAGAATCACAGAAGCTCCTCGGAAAATATGAACCTACAAACAGAGAAGCATTTAATATATTTAATAAATGCAATTTAATGCCCTCATATTTCATAACTGTGATGAATATATTCCACATATAGATACATGACCATTTGCATATTGGCAATTGTATCTCCAAGTAGAAGTTTCATACTCAAGAGCAGAAAAGCATCATTCAAAATCAACAGGATGACTAACTGTGAATTAAGTTAAACCAGATCAGAATAACACTTTGTTCATTATAGCTTTCCTATCACTAAGAAATACTATTAATTGAACAGCTACACTGAGCCAACTATTATATCAGGCACTATGTTAAATGCTTTGTCATCACTATCTTTAACCTTAGGCATCTCCCAGAGGCAGGTATCATTATCCCTGTTTTATAGACAAGAAAACTGAAAGAAGTAAAATAAATGTTACATTAAAACATAGCTATTTAAGTGGCTGGGATTTAAACTAAGATCTTTCTGATTTCAAAGTTAGTACTCCCTTTACCTTAAAAAGTTTTGCTAAGCAAAGGATAAACTAATATTTTAGGGTTCTCGGTAATCCGAGAAACCTGTCATTTAAACTGTTTCTCATTATTGCTCCTAATGAAAGCATGAATAATTAATTGAGGACTGACAGTCGCCTCCTGATACAAAACACTATGAGTTGCAGATGGGTTCTCCCCACATGACACCATAGCAACGAGTTGAAAAATGGAAAACAAAAATCTACGATCACGCAGTTGTTGTCTTTTATTCTAGGTGGAAGGAAGGAGAAAGAGAAAATTAACCTGACCTCTTACTCTTACATGTCAAATATGACTAGAACATCCGTGTTTCCTACTGTGCCTCTCCTCCTTGAAAGATCTTAAAGTATTCTAGCAGCAACCAAGACAAAACCCCATCTGACCCTGAAGGTCCAGCTAATCAGAAAGTGTTATTAGGGCTTTCCAAATTTCCTGTTGCACAACACCTGTACCAAGGATCCTAACACAGCAGCCTGCAGGGATTTGCTAGGAGACCATAAAACCTTCCCTGATGAGTTTCCAACTCAGTTGCCACTGCCATAAGAGTCTCCCTGTTAAAACCTTCTCTCCCCCAGCCTTTTAGATTCATGAGGGGAGAGGGAGAAAAAGGCAGTAGCTGAGGCTGGCATTCAATTCTGCTCAGGGATTTTTCTAACACATCATCACATCACTTCTATGATTCAGAGCTGTATCATTAAGAAGGGGGGCTCCTTAAGAGAAGAGGGCCTATTGCCTGTTGATGAACTCTTCCTGGGAGACAGAGGAGGATGGCACAGGGTGATGGAGGGAGAGAAGAGGAAGACTTTTCTATAGAGGGGACACAGGAGCAATCTTGAATAATGAATAAAAATTAGCCAAGTGAACAAATTAGGAAGTGTGCATATGTGAAATAACTGTGTGTGTGTATTTGTGTGGGAGTAGGTTGGGAGGGCAGGGAGGAAAAGGGAAAAGATACTAGCAGGTGAGAGGCATAAAGGTGTGAAGCAGCGAGGTACACTTTGTACATAAATCTTGCTCTGCCTATGACCATCTGACCTGGCCTTACCTCTTTCATTTGATTAACAACTCATCCTCAGCTGTCAGGGTGCAGCTGAGATGTCACACCCTCCAAAAAGCATTCACCAATGGCCCAATACCAAGATATGTTACCTCACTTTGCATCTCCCAAAAGTCCTGTACTTCCCTAAAAGTAGGACTTCTCATACTGAAGTTGCCTGCTTACAACTAGGCCCTAAGGTCTCTATTAGCTTTCTATTGCTGCTATAACAAATTATCACAATTTAGTAGCTTAAAGCAACAGAAAGTTACTCTTTTACAGTCCTGTAGACCATAGGTCTGAACTGAGTCTTACAGGGCTAAAATCATGGTGTTAGTAGGACTATTTCCTTCTGGAAGATCTAGGGAGAATCTGGCTTTTGCCTCTTCCGGCTTCTAGCAGTTGCCAGCATTCCTTGGCTCTGGCCACATCGCTCCAATCTCTCTTCCATGGTCACATTGCCTTCTCCTTTTCTTCTATCAAATCTCCCCATTTCTCATTTGTAAGTACATTTGCTTTTGCACTTAAGGCCCACCTGATAATCCAGGATAATCTTCCTATTGTAAGATCCTTAACTTAATCACATCTGCAAAGTGTCTTTTGCCCTATTAGATAACTGATATGGTTTGAATCTGTGTCCCCACCCAAATCTCACGTCAAATTGTAATCCCCAATGTCGAAGGTGGGGGCTGGTGGAAGGTGATTAGATCACGGGGGTGGTTTCTCACGAATGCTTTAACACAATCCCCCTTGGTGCTGTTCTTGTGATAGTGAGTTCTCCTGAGATCTGGTTGTTTAAAAGTGTGTAGCACCTACGCCCATCTCCTCTTCCTCCTGCTCAGCCATGTGAAGTTCTGACTTCCCCTTTGCCTTCTGCCATGATTCTAAGTTTTCTGAGGCCTCCCAAAAAGTTGAGCAGATGCTAGCATCATGCTTCCTGTACAGTCTGTAGAACCATGAACCAATTAAATCTGTCTTCTTTATAAATTACTCAGTCTTAGGTTTTTCTTTATAGCAATGTGGGAATGGACGAATGCAGTAACATTCACAAGGTTTGGGGATTAAGAACTGAATATGTTCAGGAACCACTATTTAGCCTACTACAAAGTCCTTGCTATCATGGGCATGATCTTGTTCCCTGCTCCATCCCTAGTGCTCCACACAGTTGTCCAGCCCATAGTATGTGCTCAAGGAATGTGTTGAAAAGAAACAAAACTAGTGGATGGATGGAAAAATTGATGCTCTAGGTAACCCAAGCCATGTGGGTGTGACTGTTGACAATGCTGTTCTCAGGGCAGGGATAGAATATGTAAAGTTCTACAGGGCCTAGTGAGGAGCTTAGCCTAGTGAGGAGATGGTCAGTAGGAAGTCACCAAAGGACTTCAGGCAGAAGAACATTTTTAAAGAGTCTTGTGTCAACATGTAAAGAATAATATTGGTTCCCACCTAGCCTCTGAAGCCTACACCTCTCCTTTTTAAATTTAGGAAATAGAATTTCCTCTTCTGAATGGCAAAGGTATCCTGCTCTTAGTTTTATTTGTTGATGGAATGGGACACATTCCATGAAGTAGCCTCATGGAGAAGGTGCCAGTATAAAAAGACAAAATTCCTGCATAAACTAAAGATTAGTGTATTCCAGAGGGAAGAGTCCATGGTCTTTCTTCTGGAAACAGCTCTCAAGAAGTCTCCTTTCCAGCCACCCAAGTCCCTGAAAAAACACACAACCTGGGATTCATTGCCAAAAAAAAAAAAAAAAAAAGAAAGAAAGAAAGAAAAGAAAGAAAGAAAAAAGGCAAGGGAAACTCAGAGACAAAGAAGGGGCCACAGACCACTTAGAAATGACCCTAAAATGCAGAATTATATGCTTCCCTTGAGTGAAGATGTGTGCATGCATGCCAACAGTGGAGGCGAAGGAAGGGGAGGCCGCAGATAGAGGTCAATGTTAGCAAGGGAACAGACCCCAAGGAATTTGACAAGTGGGCTCCGCAGCTGCCAGACAGGCAGGAATACATTCAACAGTGCCAGCACTACTCTCAAAACTGCAACCCTGTGCCAGGAACCTCTCTGAAAGTGTGTTTTTTCTCATTCAGATTCACAAACAGTAAATGGCATTGTTAAATGCAATCTTGTCATAAACATGGCTCATTTAATATTTTCTAATTCTTTACATAGATTCAATCAGCAAAAGGTTTTCCTATTTTAGCTCACTTGAGGCTCATACTAACCCCTTAGAGGGAGGATTGACAGCTTTCACAATCCCTATTTTACAGATGAAGAAACAGAGGCTCAGAGAGAACATGAACTTCCCCTTGTGGCCACATCCTTAGTGAGTCTAGACAGATTGTTTCAACTGCTGCTCTGGTGTGTGGTCTACACTACCACACGTATAAAACTCAATCTTCAAGCTAGTCTTTTAAAGGATCATATCACACATTATATGTGTTTATGTGTGAATACACACACATAAGAATATACACACTTAAACATACGTATGTATATCATATATATCATTATGTATTCTACACAAAGACATGCTTATATGCATCTATAATATAGATGTCTAACAGGAAAGCACTTGACATAGCAATGAGAGAGTGTGAAGAGAAAAGCATTATGTTCAGGTGAAATATGAAATAACATGGCAGCCTTTCTTTACCTTGAATAACTAAAGGAATGGCAAAATGATAATCAATTCTTAAGAACCAATATAGAACACTTGCATATCTTTTAGATTGCAAGGCTAGATTCTGATGAGAATATGTGTCTTACTCCTCCTGAGCAAAGACTCATTCATCATCATATTTTCAAATATCTCAAACATCGAGATCCTTTTGTGTGGTAAACACTGTGCATTGTATTGGGACACAAAGGCAAATTAAGACACAGTCCCTGCCTTCAAGGAGCTCACAGCAGAGGAACAGGCAGATGTGTAAATCTAGCAATTATCTCACAATGCGGTAAGTGCTTTCATTGCGCTAACCCATGGGAACACAGAAGGGGGAGGTCTAAGTCATGTTTAGTTCATAGGAGACATTTCAGGTAGAGTTGACGTTGAAGTGAATATGCTGTGTAGGAGCTGTTAGATGAAAAGCACAGAATAAATATTTATTGAATGAAACAATGGAGGAATAACTAAATGAAGAGAAGACTACAGTTTCTTTCCACGAGCCTGATCCGCTGCAGCTCTCCACCCTCGGTAGAGAATCGAAGATGGGAATTTATTGCATCGAAGCCTTATAGATAATTCATAGACTGTTTAGGTAGCAGATGTCAAACTCAATAAACAATAAAGTCCACAACTTAGAAAAATGAAAGGATCAGCACCCTCTTCCCATTGTCTAATGAAAGAAAATAAATATTTTTGTCCTTTTCACTCTTGGTTATCCCATTCTCTCACTTTCTTAGTGAACTTTTTGGATGTCCAATTATCAGGCAGCCTGGAAACAAGTTTCTCTTCTTAAGATAAACAGCCAATGACTAAAGCACAATTTATATCTATTATTTTTTCATCAGGCTCCCGTCTATGTGTGGGCAAGGCTAAATAAGAAGAACTGTTAGAAAAATTGGAGGCGAGGACACAAATGAGTGTTTTACCTTTGGCATTTAGATGCAGAGCTGATCCTGAACCCCGTGTGTCTTTCTATGTGACATTTCCAGCGCTGAACTGGAAAATATGAATCTAAGTACAGATATAGTCTATAATGAATCCATCTGGCCACACATCAAGTTTTTAAATATTTACAATTATGGCCCTGGCCTTATTAAACTTGCAGGAAAACAGCAGCAGCAGGGTTTACATATGGGCTCAAGAAGCTTCCTTCAGCCAGCACCATGATGGCAACTGCCTGAAATTTCTAGAAAAATATATATTCATTTGCCACTCTCTCAGGGTCAAAAAATGGCACAAAAACATCAGGAAAGCGGCTTGCTGGGATTTCTCAAACTGCACACAGGACACTGCAAAGAGCATGTATGAGCTATCGAGTTTGTATTTAAATCTGTTTCCTTCTTGGAAGACTATTCCATACTGAGGGCCCAAGAGGAGGCAATTCCAACAAATAGATGGAGACAAGAAATAAATGTCAGGAAATGAAGAACTTCCTGTTATCAAGGGCAATGCAAAATCAAGATTTGAATCTGAGTTGGAACCCGCTCTTATTAGTGTCTTCTAGTCTGTCAGGGCTGTGAGGTTTCCTTGAAGGACCACATGGCTCAGGCACCAGGAGACTGTGTTTCCAGTCCAGGCCTGCTACTCATTCATTGTATGAGTGTGAGCAAATCGCTTAGTGCCCTGAGAGTCTGTTCTTCTCATACCTAAAATGGGAATGGCAAGCACTACCTACGTAGCTCACAGGGCTGTTTGAGGCTACGATGCTGTAGCAGGGGTTTACAAACTATGATTCAGGAACCATTTGTGGGTCTGGAAATTAGTTTCCTGGATTAAAACTACTATTTTCTTTCTTTCTTTTTTTCTTCTTTTTGTTTTTTTTGTTTGTTTGTTTGTTTTTTTGAGACAGAGTCTCGCTCTGTTGCCCAGGCTGGTGTGCAGTGGCGTGATCTCAGCTCACTGCAAGCTCCACCTCCCGGGTTCACACCATTCTGCCTCAGCCTCCAGAGCAGCTTGGACTACAGGCACCCGCCACCACACCCGGCTAATTTTTTGTATTTTTAGTAGAGATAGCGTTTCACTGTGTTAGCCAGGATGTTCTCGATCTCCTGACCTCGTGATCTGCCCGCCTCAGCCTCCCAAAGTGCTGGGATTACAGGCATGAGACCCCATGCCCGGCCAAAACTACAATTTTCCAAACAAAATAGAATTGGAATGGAATCACATAGAATGAACTGGACTGGACTGAACTGGAATGGGAAGTAACTCACCCATAGTAAGTACAGCTTTGTAAAATTCTTTTTTCGCTTATATATCTGTATGTAGGTATTAAATTGTGATGCTAAATGCATTTGTTACTGTAAATTTAAGCTTTGATATATGAAAGAGCTTTGTAAAATGTAAAGAGAGGTACCCAAGGGAGCAAACTAGTTGTCCAGAAATCATAAATGTATTTTGTTTTCCTTCCCCCATATTTTCAACTAAAAAAAAAAAAAAAGAACAGAATGCACTCAACAAACATATTCTGGTTTCTTCAGCTGCCCCCATGGCTTATTGTCAGCATGCTACCTGCTTGACCCCCGAAACGTCTGAATTTGTGATATCTGGGTAAACGGTAATATGTACATATCTCTAATTTTGCACTTTTTGCACTGAATTAAAATGGTTTTTGCAATGGTCTCCAAGCATCTTAAGAACAGGAACATGATCTTTTAATGTATCCTCCAGGCTGGCAGTGTCCTTAACATAGTAGCTGTTCAATAAATATTTCTCAAACAAAAGCAGAGTCAAGATTTCTGGATCCCTGTTGGGCTCAGACTTTGCCACTGGCCATCTGGATGATATTGAGGGAGCCGTTTCTCTGCTGTGTGCCAACGTTTCCCTCACTGGTAAAGTGAGAGTACTGAGCTCAAAGTAATGCTCTCCATATATGTGTGTGCTCTGGGAGATCCATAAACAGTGAGAAGTCCTTGTCTGCCAAATGATGAAGATTTACACCACTACAGTAGTCTGTTCATTGCTTTTACCTGTTTCACTGATTTCGGCTCTACCTTAAGATTTCCTTTAACTAGGTGACCTCTAAGGTTCCATCTCACTATGCCATGCAGCCGTCATGACTCCCAGTGAGGTGCTCTTGCAGGTGCACCTCAACACCTTCCTCTAGTTGTTATGTTCTTTCTCCAAAGCCGGTTAAGTTACGAGTGACTGAAGCTATGGCTAATATGGATAGAACAACACACAGCTCATATGAATTACAGCACACAGCTGGGATCATCATTCATTATCTGGCTTTCAAACACAGTCCAGTCAAACAGTCCCATCTTCCTTTTGACTCCTGAAATTTTTGATGACATACTGCATTCGTCTGCTCTGATATGTTGCTACTCCCATAGACTTTGCTGAGAACTTTCTATTTCAAGTGTTCATCAGCCAGTGTGGATTAGGAGGACATTTAATGGAGAATTCATTATTATGAGAAATCTGTGAGTTGCCGTCATAAAATTTACCCTCACTTTTATAAAAGCCTTCTTCACTCATCCACTTCTTCTGAAAATGATCAATACCAGGCTATCACTCCTACGTCTGGCCTACCACTCTGTTTTTCAAAATTTGCAATGTTGACACAAATATGTTATTTGATTCATTTCAACCTAGGATTACCGTATGCCTATTATGTACCGGGTACTGCGCTAACCAAGAGCAGTAAACAAAAGTGTCCTTTACATATCTATGTCCTTGTGCAATGGCATGTCCCCTTCTCACCTTCTCATTCTGTTCCTTATCCCTCAAGACGAAATTATCTCATAATTCTATTATGCCCTTTATGACTCAATCTTCATAGGCTTACTCAGCTATACCTGAATTTCTCTCTAGTCATCATATATTTTACCTTGTGCCTCAGTTTCCTTAACTTGTGGGGAAGACTGAATGAAGAGAGGTGAAGCACTTAAATTGTGCCAGGCACATAATATATATTAAACAAATATTAGTTATTACGATTATTATATTTATCATTGTGATTGGCAGAGAGCAATAATTGGAGGGAGCTTGGCATTAAGATGGGTCATTCAAAGAGAGAAGGCAAAGATCCAAAGCATTGGTAATGTGGAGGTTCCTTCCTGGACCAACTGCATAAAAGGAAGAAGATGGTCTTTGAATGAAAATAGATAATGCTAGAAGCATTCTTCTGATTGCTTCAGATGTCAGGTCCAGGCTATGGCCAGCTGCCCATGAAGGGTCAGACATCACGAGCATCCTCGTCTCTCCATCCCCATCCCCCTGCAGCTCTGGAAGATATTTTCTGTTCTGGCCTTTCAGGAGGAGCTGCCTGGGGCTCTCAGCTCAGGCTGCCAACGTTGAACGAGCAGGTCACACTTCTTGGCAGCCAAGGGTGGAGGGCTCCTCAGGCAACACTCAATGTCAGGCAACACTGGCTCTTCTTCTGGCTGCCCCACTCAAAATTATTGATTTGAGTGTGTGAATCAGAAATGAGAGCTAGAGCTGCAAAGCGGCCTATTTCCTATCCATAATACAGCTGGTATAATGTGAGAGGTCATTCATTCATACCCTCTCAGAGCATCTAAGTCCGTGCTTTCCTCAAGCCCAGAAAAATGTCACTCTTCACCCAAGGACAGAGCTCATATTCCAAAAGGTTTCAATAGCTTATTCTTCTGCCTAGCTGCAAACTGGCCAGCTCAAAGCATATAGGCAGCAATATTTACTCATCACACTGTCTTAGGGAGGGCTTCAATGCGTCCTCAGAAATTTTTTAAAATAAGGACTTTTATTAATTTTTTAAAAAATACTTTGTCTATTTATTCACCCAACAAATACTCACCTCCTGAACTCCCTGGAATAATACTTGATATTTAGATGGGTAAGTTGAAAAAGCACCATATGTAATTTTCTGCTTTCTATTGATCACAATATAACAGTTAGAGAAAGAGAGCTAGATAATACTATAGAGTGTGAGGGGTGTTATAATGATGGTCAGTACATGTCAAGACATGGGCAAGGCATTTGGAAATAGAAATATCAAAATGATTGAGTAAGATATAAAAATGCTGCCTTAAAACACAAAGGAATATGTGCAATAGACATGCATTCCTCCACTGCCAAGTCCTTCTCAAACCCCGAGTCTCACTACACTTCTAACGCCCCATGTCCCTAAACATTTCTCTACCTCTAAGTCCTCCCTAGAAGGGGCAAGCATCAGAGACAGGAAGATACTAATTATACCTTTCACTTGGTAGTAAAATATGTTTCTTTGTTTTATAAATGAAATAAAATGGATGGGTCAAAATACTGGATAATATTGACAGTAATGCTAATAATTGTAATTATTATTAATAATAGTTACTGGATTCTTAGTATGTGTTACCCATTTGGCTAAGCAGCTTACATACATTCTCTTATTTAATGCTTGTGAAACCCTACGCATTAGGTTCTATTGCTCTTCATTTTACAGCAGGTGAAACGGAAGTTGCCCAGAGTCACCCAGCTAGTATGTGATGTAGCTTAAACTTGAATATATATCTGATTACTAAATCAAGTCTGCTAATAACTACATTATATATATATATATAATATTTATTTGTATATAATGTGTGTGTATATATATACATATGGTTAACGGGGCAATTAGGAAACCTTCACAGAAGATCCGAGTGCTGAAAGACAAACAGGAATTTTGAAATCTGTTAATTCTAACCAATCAACTAGCCTCTTCAATTATACAACTCTATGAAGTTAATTTTACTTTAATTTTATGAACTAACAGAAAGATAGCAACTTGGTGCCCGAAATTTAGTAAATTTTTTTAAAAAATCTCTAGTTACTATATTCTCTTACCCTCCCTTCTTCTATCCCCATGAGCCTAGCATAGTGCTATATACATATTTGACTATATGACTGATGGATGTAGACAAAGTCTGAGATTTGGGGAACCTCCCAGATCATCAGTCATGAAGCAGGGCTTCAACATGACAGCAACATATCCCCAGCCGCAGTTTGTGTAGAAAGATTTTATTTCAAGGCGCAGTTGAAAGCATCTCCTTTGCTTTGTTCGTGTTAATTATTTCTGAAATATAAGAAAGTGCATCCAGACAGGGGTAGAAACATCCAGACCTTTTGCTATTCATTTCTAAAAACAGATTCTGTTCCTTTACGGAGGATATCCTGGTTAATCAAACAGTATGTGCTCTTTTAATTTTCCTTGCTGGTTTCTGTCTCCATTCTTTTCTGTTGTTTCACAGTCATTTTTAGAGATTTAAGGAGTGGGTGGAGGAAGTGGAAACAGTTTTAATATCAATAAACTAATGATAGTAGCTAGAGCTAATTTTCCCTTATGCTTTTGGAAACAGGAAGAATCAAGAACAAGTTAAGAGAGAGCTTTCTTTGCTGGCAAATTCATTTCCCATAAAGAGAGGCGGTCATCTTTCCTGAGGAGTCTGAAATTCTAAGATAAAGATGAAAAGATGATATTTTATCATAATGACACGGATCTGCATTCCCATTTATCTTGTGCTCCCACAGCAAAATATACTGGGAACTGTCATGCTGCTTTGAAAAGTGGGAAAATATTTAGCCATTTAAATAATCCAAAAGTAAAAAGAGGCACCAAAGGGGAATAGCACAGAATAATAGCTTTATAGTCTCCCTAGGAGAAAAAAACTCAAATTGCTGACCCAGATTTCAGAATTTATAACTCACCTCCTAAACTCTGTCTGCAACTAGTGCTATTTAGAAAAGAGTATTTCTTTGGTAGTTCCTTAATAATAATAATCCTTTACATCCCTATAGCACTTTAGGCTTCTTTCAAAGTATTTCCACATCCATTATCTCATTTGGTCTTCAGAGCAGCCGTGCAAAGTACACAGGGCCAAGACAATTACCTCCATTAACAGAAACCAGTGACTGTTCACAGGCGTCAAACTAG
The DNA here is from genome assembly GCF_000001405.40 of Homo sapiens. NCBI lineage: Eukaryota > Metazoa > Chordata > Mammalia > Primates > Hominidae > Homo > Homo sapiens. The sequence goes on from NC_000001.11 coordinate 57,820,125, forward strand.
CCCTGCTGTAGTTAAAAGAGCAGAAACCAGCCACATGATGCTCGGGCCCAAAGACTGGATTCCTTCTCTCAGAAACCCACTGTTTGCTTGCTGAGAACATGCACAATTGTCAGGAGCTTCCCAAAGTTACGCATTTCACCATCTTAAAAACAATTAATGTCAAATATTTCCTCTGAGCCAATGCTACTGAAAAGACAGCCCAGCTCTGAATAATACACACTGATTAAAACTTCCCCTTTTCCTTCTTTCGTAGTTGGGTCCAAGAAGATTTAAATTAACTTATGGTGAAAAGCTTAGTCACTTAAAAAAAAAAATTAAATCCAGAAGCTGCAATTGAGAATTTCTTACTTTCTTTTACATCATAGCTATTTCGAAGTCCCATCATGCTGGTGCCTAACTCTACCTCTATTTAAAATCTACAGCTGGGTTATATTTTCACCTTCTGGTTTAAATACATTTCGAATGTGTCAGTATCATTGCTTCTACTCCAGATTAATAGGATCAGCCAAAAGGATGGCTAACATTTTTGTTGCTATAGAAACTAGTCCTGATGTTACACAGCTTGCCTTTCCCCTCTTTGCCATACATCTATCCAGCTACTGAACACAGACATCTTTTTGTTTCACAAGGAATTACATTAAAAAATTAAACCATAATTTCATCCTGGTTTAGTCCCCTTTCTGTCAAAAAGAGTATTAAGTAATATGAAGAAGCATCCAAAAGAAAGTGGGAATTGCTGATATTGCTCAATAGCTTATGAGCCTCCCAGATATAAAGAGAACATAAGTTCAGCAAATTATTCCACATCCTAAATCCATGTTCATTTCTGCTCGAGTTAAGTACTTTACAGCTTTTCCTTCGCAAACCTCTAAGCCTGGCCAACACTTTCCACATTAGTCTCTCGACAACCAAACCAAGCCAGTTCTTACTCTTCTCCCTTTCACCCACCCCCAAAAAAGAAAAGCATTTCTGGACAGCTGTTTCCTTAAATATACCATCAACATCCTCTAACATATCACCTTCATTGTACACTCAGGTTCTTTTTCCACAGATGCACCATCGCCCCCAGAGAAAACCTCTCACACAGAATTAAGATGTGAAGTTTCAGCACCTAATGATGCAGCCAGCACGTATGGCTGATGCCAGAAGGTACACTCAATAAGGAAGAGATAGAGGGCATAATAATAATAATAAAAAAAGCACCCTTCCCAAATGACTGGGAAACACAGCTTCTCCAGCCCCTGTAATGACTGATGTTTATCAAAAGCAGAGGCAATGAGCAGCTCTGTAATTGGCAGGATCTACACTGTCAGTTGTCCATTTGTCACATCTATGATGGTGGTAGCAGCTTATGCATTAAGTGGCATTTCTCCCTTTCCCATTATAGGTTTAAATAAAACTTTCACAACCATTTGGGAGCCATAGACAACCCAAAGGAACAGATTCCTTAGGCAGCTCCCTGGGTTATCAAGCTTACCTGGAGGTGTTATGGATATTATATTGAGTAAGAGAATATTTGAGGAAGCCTTTCCTCACTTGATGGAATGCAACCCACAGGTTAGATGCAAAGCACTCTAATAAGGCTGAGGCTACTTTGCACCAAGAGCCAAGGAAGAGGCAAAAATGCCAGCAGGCTTTCTATAATAAGTTAAAAAATCAAAATCATCGTCACCTTCTTCCATTTTTTTTAAGAGAGTGAATTTGGCTTTAGGAAAAGGCAAGAGAAAAAGTGTTAACTGAGCCCCTGCATGTGCATGGTACTCTGATGAGGACTTAATTAATAACTATGATCTCATTAAATTTTCACAATTTCTGTGAGGTAGAATTTATCCTCAAAACTACTTGGAGGTGAAGAGGCTGAGGTTCAGCAAGGGCTATATCTCATCTCCGTCCCTAGCCCACTAGGCTGCAGGCTTCCTTCAGGTGGCTGAACTGGGAAGTGGAATGGCCAACAGTAGGTGGAGTACGTATCTGACCATTTTTGTAGTTTACATATACAATGTACACAAAACATATCATGAGTGAATTCAAGGGTAATACCTGTGAATTCAACCTATAATTATTTGTCAGATAAATGTTTCATAGTGTTGGACAGGAAGTATCATGCTGTCCATCGTAATCATAAATGGAAGATTATTTTTAGTTGAGATTCCAAGTAAGAAGTGTTTCTTCTATCCAAAGGGAGTGCTGATGGGGCAGGTAGATAACTTTAAAGACCACAGAGAAGAGGGTCTCTCTGGACAGAGCTGAGATCCTTGCCATGGCCACACTGGTTAGGGGGATCACTGGCTCTTCTGAGAGAAGAATCTGCAGAGTAACCCAAGAGCTCCAGATGTATCTTTACTCAGAACTTATTTCAACCAGGGCTCTTTTAATAGTAAAAGGGGTCACTACTAATAATTTACCCTTGTACAATAGACATAAAGTGGGACTGACCTGGGCAAACATAGCAGTATTATCACTCCACTCATAAGGTGATTGCATGAAAGTCCAGATAAAATATTTAATATTGCCCTGTTCTGATTTAAGAAGGTTAATGATGTTACTCTAGATCAGCACCACCCAATAGAAATATAACGTCAGCCACATATGTAAGTTTGCATTTTCTAGTAGCCACATTAAAAAAGTAAAAAGAAAAAGGTAAAATTAATTTTAATAATATATTTTTAGACCAGTAAATCTAAATTATTACCATTTCAACATGGAATCATTATTAAAAAATTAGTGAGATATTTATCCTTTTTTCAAACCAGATTTTGAAGAATAGGTAGGCTTTGAGTGTATTGAGGTACAGGCTCCCAATAGAAAAGAAAGAACTCTTTAGATTTCTTAGATAAAATGAAGAAAATAATTTAGGAATTTTTTTTTTTTTTTTTTTGAGATGGAGTCTCACTCTGTCACCCAGGCTGGAGTGCAGTGGCGCGATCTTGGCTCACTGTAACCTCTGCCTCCCAGGTTCAAGCAATTCTCCTGCCTCAGCCTCCTGAGTAGCTGGGATTACAGGCACGTGCCTTCACACCTGGCTAATTTTTGTATTTTTAGTAGAGATGGGGTTTCACTATGTTGGCCAGGCTGGTCTCAAACTCCTGACCTCGTGATCCGCCCACCTCGAACTCCCAAAGTGCTGGGATTACAGGCGTGAGCCACTGCGCCCAGCTGAAAAAATTTTTAAAAAGAAAAGAAAAGAATAAAAACCATATTTTAATCAAGTGGAAGGGATTCTAAACCTGAGTTGGAAGAAAAGGTTGTGACTGGGGAGGTTGGACACCGAGGAAGAGGAAGGGGAATTGATGGCACACCGGACCCCATAAATGTAAGGTTTTTCATGCAAAAAGTAAGCAGGGGTCTTCTGGAGAAGACGAAGCAGGTTATGCATCTGTGGAGTACAGGAGAAAAAATTCTGCATTTCTAGAAAGAAATAGATAATCAAGCAGGATGTGGCTAAGACTACCAGCTTCCTCAGGTGTGAGTACATAATTCATTTTTGTATCTCCAGCACCTAGCAGACTGTCTGGTGCAAAGTATTAACCTCATCCCAATTGTTGGGTAGATGACTTGCCAGGGATTGATGTATAAAAGGAAAGTGGCCCTGACATGAAGGGAGGGTAACTGCCATTTTTGGGGCCCCCATTCTCTGGGAACCGCATGAGGCATATGTCATCTAATAGAATAACACTGAGACAGGGACTGCTAAGCCCACTTTATGGATGAGGAAGCAGAGACTCAAAGACGTCAAACTTGCCTAAGGCCTTACCAGCTAGCAAATAGCAAAGCTGGGATTTGACCCTAGACCTGTCTGATTAGGAAGCCCATGTTCTTTCTACCACATCATGCTGTCCAGCCAGTTGGTGAATGTCTTTTGAGAAGGATAGTAAGTGTAATAATGTGCTGCTGATGATAATAATCATGGCTAATATATATATACCACTTGCTAAGTTGCCAGTACAGTTCTAAGCATTTCTGTCAATTCATTTAGTCTATTCAACCATCCCATGAGTTAGATGTTATCTCCATGTTATAGAATGAGCTGAAGGCAGGAAGTTTAAGCCACATGTCAAAAATCACACAGCCAGTGAATGGCCAAGCCAGGATTTGAAGCTTGGTGGTTTGGTTCCAGCGTCCATAGCATTTGCTCACCCACAAGTGCCCATTGTGGGTGAGGGTGGGGGTTCACCTTCCATGCTGTGAATGTGGTCACACTGTAGGGTAACAGCCAGAGACTTGCCCAGCACACAGACGTACTATATTTTGTTCTTGGGATATGAACGATGGCTGATTGCTTTTGAAATTTGACTAATTCTTCTTCCAGGGTGTGATTTAGAGAAATAGGGTTACCTATTTCTCTAAATAGGTAACATGTTACCTCAAAATGTGTTTACAGGAGAGCCTGAGAGCTTCATTACTGACCAGAGTGTAACACAATACAGACATTCTCAGCACAGGATTTATATTTGACCTCACCAATAACATGTACACAGACTGATACATGTCACATTTTCAGTAGCAATTTTGCCCAAAGCCAACAGTGGGATATGCGTCTTAACCAACACCATAGCGTAGCCTCTCAGAGAAAACAAATATTTATTCCCTGTGTCAGTCATTCATTGCCTGCAGCTAATATTTATGGCATTCATCCAGAGCACTAGCCAGCAGAGAGTCTGCTTTGTCGAGCTTCAGAGATTCCAGCAGCAGCTGGGCAGAGGAGCACTAAAGTTTCCTGGAGAGATTCACAACCTCACAGTTGGGAGAAAGAGCTGACAGGTGTCCTGCATGGAGAAAGACATGAATGATCCCAAACTGCACTGATGAGTGGCCTTGGGGGAGTGCTTCCCATGAGGGTACTGGATATTGATCAGGATAAACTGGGAAAGGCCTAGACTGAGTTTTAGTGCCCATGTAGTGATTTAACGTCATGGCTTCAGACAAGCCACTTCATATCCTAGGTCTCAGCTTTCTCAGAAGTAACGTGAAAAGGGTGACCCAGTTTCATTGAAGATCTTTACAATTTTATGCTAACATAGTCAACTTCATTCCCACTCTGAAACAAAGCTCTGGCTCCTGGTAACCCCAGACTGAGTCAGAGTTTAGGGCCCCTAGCTTGCTCAGAAAGAAAGCTCTGACATCTTTACCATCTTTGAAGATGATCATCCAGCTTGAAACAGCAGATTTTGGATGCCCAAGAGCAACTTATTTTGTAAGCCCTCAAATTCAAAAATATGACCCTTCAGGATAGTTACTTTCCAGTAGAGAACAAGTAAGTGAGAACATTAGAGGAGGCAGGACTGTATAGAGGAAGGCACACAGGGCTATAGTAGGAACTGAAGCCAGATTGTCAAAGCATCTGAATGTCTCACTGAGTTTATATCTCTGGATTTTATTCTATAAAAGATGAAGGATCATCACAGGTGTTAAGGGCAGGAGGAAGGTGACTTGAGTGGGTTTTAGAATAATAGATCTGGTAGCAGGGCAGAAATTGGACTGAAGACTGGACAGACCCTTTATTCTTCATTCATTCACTCATTTATTCTACAAACAATTATTGAGATCCTCAATGAACATTTGTTGATTGAATAAATGACTATATGATCTCAAATAAGATAAATTTTCTTATTAGGCATTTTGCTCCTGGGACCTGGTGTATAGTAAAGGTATAATTGTCCTTCATTGAGTTAATGTGTGAATGTTGTTCAGGTCAGGTCCCACAAGTGGATGAGGTCATGAGGAAAGGGTAAAGAAACACCATCTTGGGAAACTTGGTGCCATTTCTGATCTCCTGGGTCTCATTCCGCCCTCCCAGAATAATTTTGCATGCTCATCTGCATCAGCATGTTGAATTATACAAGGTAGCAAGCTGTCACACTGTAACAGGTGTGGTGTATCATTCCGTTGGTGCATGAAATTAAAAAGATGTGGTTTGCTAGGGTACAGCAGATTAACCAAACTTGCTTCTCAGTCCATCTACTTTTATTCACATGTAAAAATCTCAGAAGAAGGAAACAGAGAACCAATCAGTCTGATTAACTATCCGTAGGTTAGTGCCAATAAACAGTTTCATGCTATCCACTGCCAAGGAAGTGGGATGTTTGATGTTTATTGAGTTCCTACTTTGTGCTTCGCATATTAGGAGATGTGATATATGTATATAGATAGTTATCTCCAGTAGTTCACATGCAATGATGAGCAGGATATGAGTACATCCTTGTGACACAGCGTGAGCACTGCTGTAGAAGAGGAATAAACAGGACCTGTAGAATATCAGAAGAGGAGCATCTCATCCAAGCTGAGAACATTAGGGAAGGCTTCTTGGTGGAGGTAATACCTGACCTGAATCCTGCAGGAAAACTAGGAATTAGCCAAAAGGAAGAGAGGGAGAAAGCAGCAGCAGGTATGCAGAGATAGTGGGGAGGGGCAGCAAGTTGCCCCACTCTGTGCACCATGGATGGAACATCTGCTGCAGACACTGCCTCCCAGGGCTCCAACATGGACAGTGAATTCCTGCCAGAAGGTGAAGCGATACAGCAAACAGGCATCGGAGCAGATGTGACAAGTGCACAGGGTTAATCAAGCATTCTGCAGCCAGCAAGAGAAATAAATGTCCCCAGAGCAATACTGGCAGCAGCTGGCAGGAGATGGCACTGACTCAAGCTTTGTCCTCCTGGAATAGGAAGTGCTCTGCCACTCTGAGGACTGGAGGCACTTGCCATGTGCTCCTCTCCCATTCCTTCTTATTCACATAGAGAGCAAGAGACAGGGGGAAGGGAAAAAAATTAGTAATAGTGTCACTGACCTACAATAAAGAAAGTAATCAATAATCATTCTACAAAAGAAAAAGAGATGAAGAAGATGGGTATTTGGTAATTTGATGGTTTCTATTTGCCTCTCTGGCTTTGATTTTACGGTTGGGAAGGATGTGAATGTTATTACATGGCAATGAGGTTGCTATGGTAACTCTTTATTGTTTAATATAAGATGAGCTAAATCTTAGATAAGTTACTGGGAGAAAAATTAATGCTGCCAAAGGCCAGATCCAGTTTTTGATTCCCTTTTTTTATTTAACATTTATGCCTGTTTCCCCTTCATAACCTGCCCTTCTCCTATAGGACATCAAACACATATCAAAATGAAGAACAGTTCAGCCATTGTTAAAGGGATCCTGTACTATAGAAAATCAACTAGGACCCATTGGTCAGGAAGAAAGAAGTTAATAACACATGTTAGTATCTGTGCCTAGGATAACTCAAAATGTGGCTCAATTCTAGCTTTGCAGTCAACATTCCTTTTCTGCAATCCCAGCTTTACTACTTAGCCATTCTGTGACCTTGGGCAATTACATTTTCTGGACCTATTTCTCAATATTCAAGATGAGAATAATAATGACATCTACCTCATCAAATTTTGTGGGGAAAAATAAATTATGGAAGATGGTGAAGATTTAACACAGTGCCAGGAGTGCCAGGCAATACTTGGTACTCAATAATTAGAAGCTATTCCTCTTTTTCCTCCTCCTATAATGATAATGGGGAGGATGACATTATTTTATTAGTATTTCAAGGTCCAGTTAAAGAGCCATGTCTTCCACCTTTCGTGACTTATCTGGAACACACAAAGGCTACTTCCTTCCGTACTCCCTTTGGCCTGCCTATAGGTATCACAAAGGCGGCACTGGGATGGGGGCAGGGAAAGAGTAGGAAAGCTCTGGTGCCACTGACAATCCCTAAGAGCTTACCTTGCTCCGGGTCCTATACCAGGCCCTTCACTTACATTACTTTATTATTTGTTAAAACACTCCAAATATGTTGACATGATCATCCCTATCTTTGTTTGTTTGTTTTTGTTTCTGAGATGGAGTCTCGCTCTGTCGCCCAGGCTGGAGTGCAGTGGTGCGATCTCGGCTCACTGCAAGCTCCGCCTCCCGGGTTCACGCCATTCTCCTGCCTCAGCCTCCCGAGTACCTGGGACTACAGGCGCCCACCACCATGCCTGGCTAATGTTTTGTATTTTTAGTAGAGACGGGGTTTCACCATGTTAGCCAGGATGGTCTCGATCTCCTGACCTTGTGATCCGCCCGCCTCCGCCTTCCAAAGTGCTGGGATTACAGGCGTGAGCCACCATGCCTGGCCGATCATCCCCATCTTATAGAGGAGAAAGCTGAAGTTCAGAGAGGTTAAAAACTTTTCTGAAGTTCTTACTGCTTATAAATGGTAAATCTGTGGACATCTGATTTTAAAACTCCTGCTTTTTCCACAGCACCATACAGTTTTCCTTTTGATACATTTTTATCTTATCTTCCACCCCACCTCCTGCTGCAGTAATCTTGGGGACTGAGAGTGGGCTTTCATTGTTTTTTCTTTGTGTTCTGGCTTTTCCCCTGTTCCAGTGATACCACATATTATGTGCTCAACAAAAGCCTGTTGATTGAAATATTGGAATCAAGTCAAGGAAAAAAATGAGACAAGAAAAATGGATGCAGCCATGTATGCATGTAGATACTGACTTGGCTAATGTATTGAGTCTTAGATTTCAATTGACAGCAAGGATAGACAAAAAGAAAAATGTATCCTACTTTTGACATAAATGACAATCCAGAAAAAAAGGATGGGCTAAGAAAATTGTGGTTAAAATAAAGCAGGTGGAATCTGAGAAAAACTAATTAACTTTCTAATTATATCAGAAGTTGTAAATCATAAGTTTTTACACTCTTAGAAAAAAGGCTGAGAGGAAAAGATGACAAACCGGTGATTTAAATATCACCTAAGAATACATAACTTTCATTTTATAGGCAGCTCTGGTGGTAATATTATAAAAAGCATTCTGGTTTCCTCAAATTCCTTCTTAATGAATGGCTTCTCAATTCAATAATTTTATTTCAGTTAATCTATCACCTTGAAAGCACATTTTAAGAAAGCCTAGTAGCGCACTCTTTTAGATAATTCAATAAATGTTTAATTTTTCCCAACCCCCACCCCTAAAGCATTCACCTTGTTTGGATTATAGCCTTAACTGACAGGCACAGGTTCACTTACAGCATCTGAGCTGAGGCTGATTCTTCTCTTGCCAAGGTGCATTATGAAAAATTTAAAAGTGAATTATGAGACAGTATCTGATTATTAACTAACAATTGTATTAAAAATTTAAGAAGTTCGCTTAAGAAAAATGAAGTATAAAAACAATAACACAATTTTAGTGGTAGGTAGTCAGAAATGTTTTGTGGTTTTGGAGCCTCAGAGAACGTAGCTTTGATTTTGGCAGTTTCGTATTTGTTTTCTGATCTTCAGCTCACAGGGCTTCAGTTTTCTCATCTGCATAAGGTGAGAAGAATGCCGCCTATCTTACAAGACTGCTATTATTCTGTAAAAGATAATGCACAAGATGCTTGCTAGACAGTAAACATTCAATCAATGGTTTCTTTGGAGTAATAATATTTCCAGTTGATAGGATTCATTTATTCATCCAAGAAACATTTATTGAGAGCTTCTTGCCAGGTGACAAGCACTGTGCCAGATGCCAGGGACACAATATGGTAGACAGTCTCTGGGTCTGGGTAACTCACAGTCTGCTGGAGGCCCAGCTCTTTCTCTGCCACCTTTTTGCTCAGCCCGCCCCCTTCCACCCAGAGATTTCCACCCCAGCTGAAGGTTCAGCAAGATTTCTTTAAAGTACGACTACAGCCCCAAATTGCTTTTTCTGATAATAAAATAATTCCTTACATGGGTAAATACAGACCATTCTTACATCCATTATCTCATGTGAGCATTACTGCAGTGCTGGTAATAATAGCAGTCAGTACTTAAGATGTATGATACTATGTTGATATGTTCACATTACAGGTTGGAAGACTAGCGTACAGAGAGACTGGTGCTTGTCCAATTATATCTGACTCCTTCTCATGACACTCTACACTCTCTCCTGCTCTGCTATGAGAACTGGCCAGACAAGGACTGCTATCTTGTGAAGATGAGGAAACTGAGGCTAGGGAGAGGAATTAACTTGCCCAAGAATGTTCTGTAAGTGACTGACAGAGACAGGATTAGAACCCAGGTACCTTGTCACTTACAGATTCATTCAGTCACTCAACTTAGATGCCCTGAGCAAAGAAAGACCATTAAACCTCTGGAATCCTCTGAATAACAATGATAAAAATAATGGTGACACTATTTATCAATTAACACGTTCTTACTCCCTACCAAGCACTGTTGAATGAGTACTTCATCCTTTTCAATCTTTGCAGTAATACTATGAGGTAGGCCTATTACTTTTCCTATTTTTAGCACATGACTAAATAGCAGGTAGGTTATAAAACTTGTCCAAGGCAACAGAGCAAGTAGTAGAGGCAGGATTTAAACCCAGGCAGCGTGACCTCAAAGCTGGCCTTCTCAAACACTTCTCTGAACAGCATCTCTCACCCAGTTATTGGCTAATGTGTATACATGTATGTGAGTATGTATGTCTCCTTACACATGAAAAATATATATATATATAGTTCCCTGTGCAGGAAAGAATTGACACACAGGCCTGAGGCACACCTTTTGGAAAGCCTGCCTACAAGATTGGTTCTTTGCTGATGTCTGGGAACTTGGCTCTTTAAATAGTCTCTAACTGATAAGACCGATTTACTATACCTAGACTGTTTATGCAGAAAACCTCTTTTCTTTCTAGGAGTCTAGATTTTTAGTAGTTGCTAGATGGAGAGTGCATATGTGACTAGATCCCAACAAAAATCTTGAGTACTAAGTCCCAAGTGGGCTTCTTTAGGCCAGAAACATCAGACAAATGTTGCTTATTTTATTTTATTTATTTCTTTATTTTTGAGATGGAGTCTCGCTCTGTTGCCCAGGCTGGAGTGCAGTGGTGCAATCTCGGCTCACTGCAAGCTCCGCCTCCTGGGTTCACACCATTCTCCTGCCTTAGCCTCCCGAGCAGCTGAGACTACAGGCGCCCGCCACCATGCTGGCTAATTTTTTGTATTTTTTAGTATAGACGGGGTTTCACCACGTTAGCCAGGATGGTCTTGATCTCCTGACCCCGTGGTCCGCCCACCTCGGCCTCCCAAAGTGCTGGGATTACAGGTGTGAGCCACCGCGCCCAGCCATGTTGCTGTATTTTTGCAGCTGGGTGTAGAGTACATTCTGTGTGACCCTTCCTGGGAGGGAGAGAGATTAGGAAACCTAAATATGAATTCCTTCAGACTCTACTAATGTTTTTCCCTTACTCGTCTAGCTGTATATCTGGAGGGTACTTCCATAATAAATCTTAGCCCTGAGTGTTACTATATGTTAAGATGTTGAGTTCTGTGAGTCCTTCAAGTGAATTACTGAAAGCATGGCTAGTCTTAGGTAACCCCACCAAATATTGCCTCATTCATAAACCATGAAAAAGTTATATTAACTAAATAATACATATTTATTTTCTTCTCTTTTTTTTTTTTTTTTTTTTTTGAGAAAGGGTCTTACCCTGCTACCCAGGCTGGAGTGCAGTGACAGGATCATGGCTCACTGCAGCCTTGACTTTCTGGGGAACAAGTGATCCTCCCAGCTCAGCTTCCTGTATATCTTGAACTACAGGTGCATGCCATTGTGCCTGCCTAATTTTTTGTATCTTTTGTAGAGACAGGGTCTCACTTGTTGCCCAGGCTGGTCTCAAATTCCTGGGCTCAAGTAATCCTTCAACCTCAGCCTCTCAAAGTGCTGGGAATACAGGCGTGAGTCACCATGCCCATTTTCTTTTGTTTTTCCAATGATTCATTGAATAAATACTCACCAAGAACATACTATGTGCAAGAGACTATGCTTTGTTCTGTGGAAACAAAGGTGAACACACAGACATGGCTCTTCCTCATATAAAACTTACATTCCAGTGGAGAAGACACATGCTAAACAATAGGACAAACACATAATTAAATCATATATGCATATGTACGTGCATAATTAAATCATATACACTTGCATATGTACACGTACAATTAAATCATATATCCATGCATATGTATATATAAGATCAACTGTGATCTGAGGCAGGAAGAGCAGTACAAAGAGCCATGCCAGTGTCACAGAAAGCATCTTTGAGAAAATGGCATCTGAGCTGATGTCTGAAGGACAAGTCACAAGAGTAACTAGATGAAGAGAGGGTGGGAAACAGAAGAATAAGACTTTTGGAGATACTTCCTATCTCTCTTCCAAGCTTTAAAACCTGGGCCAATAAATGAAAAGAAAAAAAGTGACAATCATACCACTGGATAGCCACTCTTGTCACGAGGACAATTTTAAGAGCATAAATGAGACCTATGGAGACGTATAGAGAAAGGAATCTTCAGGGATGTCTGGGCCCTAGATGGAACAGATCTTGGTCCAACATTTTGAACAGCCTATGAGAATGGTAAACAGCGGTGCTCTCCATTGCTGTGAGATTTTTAGTCAGATACTTATTTCTTGCCTTGCTGACAGAGGACTGTCATGCCTGGGTCATCTCAACCAGCCCCAGTTTTCCATGGTAAAAATCAGGGCATGCTGTCATTGAATAATTGCAGCTTGCCTACTGAAATGCAGATGTGCAGTCAATGGAGAGGATTCAATTTCTGGGGGGGCAAAGAGAGAAAAGACAGAGGGAGTCAAAGTAGCTGCAGTCTTTCTATTTGTTCTCTCCTGAGTCTTTGGTTATTCAAAGGACTGAAGTGGATTGTTTATGTTTCCAAGGGAACAGGGCTCAGATGCCTGGGCATTTTTGTAGGGGTGGGGGTGGTCCACCCAAAACTGGCCTTAGGGAGTTATTATGGGCTTGGAAGACAGGGATGAAGAGCTGTGAAGATTCTCTTCTTCTTTTCCTTCTCCATCACAAATCCTGACACATATTTGAACCTACAGTGATGCCTCTCAGGCTGTGGATAGGGAAGCTCTGTAATGGTGGGACAACAAGGAAATAAGTGAGCCTGGGAAGGACTGAGACTGAAAAAAAAAAAAAAAATCCTATGCTTACAGTACTTTTCTAGGATATTTGTAAGTCAGAAACTTACAAATTTGCTCCCAATGTGTTTACTTGGTTGTTGTTATTGCCTATTATCGGTGGTGAATCCTACTATTTTTCTTTAGAAAAGAGAACAGATTAAACTTTATTATATGCCAGGTACTGAGAACAAACCTGTAAATAGGTGTTTAGTTCCTATTTTATAGATTTGGAAATAGGTTCATTTATGCATTTCTTTTACATGAACATTAACTGTTGCATGTTTCACATCGTACCAAGTACTTTAAAGACATTATTTCATTTAATTCTTATAATAAAGGAATCTTCCCTATAAAAAAGAAAGCTCACATCCATGCTTCCCATTCTTGTACATTCAGCCCCTTTAAAAGCCAGGCACTGTCCTTGGTTCCAGTCAAGTTGGCTGCCCAGGACCACACAGCTTATGCCTCAGGGCAGTGTTGGGGAACCGAAAGATTAATGTCAGGAGCATTAATAAAGCAAGATGTAGAGTTGAATAAATAAGTGAATGAGTGAGTGAGTTTGGTGAATTAATAAATAAATAAAAATAGTTGGTGAATTGAGGAGTAGGCTAAAAGTAGAAACAGCAATATTTTCTCATGAGGAGAGCTGAATATTTTCAAACTCATTTCTAGCCTACCCTAACTGCATGATACCCAAAACATCATTTGGCATGGATGACAAAAAGTCATCAAACTAGGAGAGGCCAGTAAAATGAGGAAAGAAACTCATTTTGTTCAGACTTGTTTTAGCTATGGTTTAACACAGTTTAGGACCATGGCCATAAAGCCCTCAGGAACAATCTGATGTGCTTGAAAGTATCATATTAAATTACATTTCATTACATTTTGCCCAAACAGCATAGCAATATCTGTGTACAATATTTGTAACAGGATGCAAAAATGAAGCTTGTATTTGCATCCTATTAACCTATTTAAAATCTCAAACAGAAGAAGATGAATTGGAATATTTTGCAGTCTAATGCATTAGAATATAAAATGTGGAAATATAAAGTAGCATTAAACAACTGCAAATATAATAGTAAGCACTGTAATAGTCATGCAGTGATTTCAGATTGCAGTAAATTCACAGTTTTGTCCGCAACACCACAGAGATAAGAAATGGCTGGTGTGAAGTACAAAATGAAGCTTTAAGGAAATAAAAATTTTGCTGCCATACTCCTACCATTCTACTAAAAGAAATCAATTAGTTTCGTCTTGAAAATAAAATAAAATACACAGAGGCTAACTAATATAAGGAGAAAGCTTATGTTGACTGCTTTTTTGAACACAGTAGATACTCAATGAGTAATTATTGTGGAATAGATACATATTTCCTTCATTCTTTGAACATTTCATTAGTACCTACCATGTACCAGGCACTAGGTTATGTATACCAAAGCAAAAAGGGATTCAGCAGTCATTGTTGCCTCATTAAATGTTTCAGTCTGTGAAGGGAATATATATATCTTTTATATATGCACACAGTTTTTTATATATATATGTGCACACAGTTATATATATACATACACAGTTTTATATATATATAAAACTGCACATATACGTATGTGTACATATATATGTGTATAGATATATATTATATATGTACAACTAGATATGACTATATATATGGTTTAAAATATATATACATAAAATATGATAAAAGCTATAATTAGAAGTGTACAAGATGCCAGGGAGCAGAGGAAATGCAAAGGCTATGTATGTCTTTGAGGGCTGAGGCCAACCTTGTCCTCCTGTGTGGTCAACTGAAGTGTATTTCAGGGAACAGGATAACCCAGGCCCTCCTTCCCAAGTCTATTTTCCCCACCTTTTGTTAAACTCTGTTAAACTTGTTAAGAGAGGTCTGGGTTCTCCATACAGAGAGTTTAAAGTTTCATGAAAGCAGAAGTTCGTGCTCAATCTTAAAGAATGATAAAGGAGGGATATTCTTTGACTGATGGATTGGCATGTGCAAAAAGCACCTATAAGAAATTAATGTGGCTAGGGTGTAGGGTGGGAATAATGGGCAGCTCATGCTGGATAATAATAATTGTCAACATGATTTCAGATTCTATGCTTAGACTAAAGAACAGTGGCTTTATGATTCAGTGTTGATATCAGGCAATGCTATGATCTAGGGTCAGAAAGGCATCTGACATTTTCTGAGAGCTTGTTATAAGCCAGGAAACCATGTCTAGGGCTTTATAATCAGCATCACTGTCAACTTTCATAGCCACTCTTTATGTTAGCTATCATCAACCCTGTTTTCAGATGAGGAAACTGACTCATTGAAAAATTGAACACTTTTTCCAATGTCATATAACAAAGGAGACTTCTGTCATTAATTCTAACTATTCCCAAGCAGAAATTGTTGTTAGAAACCACAGAATGCCTCTGGGAGCTTTCAAGTCAGGAAACAGGGGACCAGAGAGTCCAGGTGACTCGGCCAAGGTCACCCAGCAAGTTGTTGGGAAAGCCTGGATATGAGCCCAAGACTCCAGAGTTCTCTTCTAGTCCTCCATCATTACTGTCTCGTCAGATTCTCACTTCCCCAGCTACAGCCTGTGCAAACAAGGGAGACGGTGCAGTGATAGATTGTGCCTAAGAGCTATTTTAATAGCCCTGCTGTTTTGCTGGAGAAACACAGATGTTGTGATTTGCTCCTCCTGAAGCCTGCAGCAGGGTTACTACTTAAGCAGCCACCAGATGCTGCTGTTTCCGAAAGACACCTGAATGCAGCCAAGCTCCTGGGAACACACCAGGAGAACTGCTTAGGTCACCAATGCCCCATGACGTTCATTAACAGCTGCCTTGATCCTTTGCTAACACAGGTACTCTACCCATTTGGGTCAAAGCCCCGAGGCAAATGAAGGAATAGTGATTCCAGGTATCAGAACTCCTTGCCTTCACTGAGGCTCACTTAAAACCCAACTCAAGGCCAGTCATACTTCATGGACAAGTTCAACCCCATAAAGTGTGGAAAGAAAAGAATGGGGGAGAAAGAGGAAGGAATTCATATTTATTACCTTACCACTACTGCACTTGATGTCTAATGAATATTTTTTCATTTAATCATTACAACAACTCTGTGAAGAAATTATTATGATCCCTATAACAACAGGTGAGAAATGGAAGCTAGAAAGGTGATGAAATTCATCAAAATGTAATATAGCTAATCTGAGGTAAAGAAAGGTTTTGACTGTTGGTCTGAAGTGTTCCATGCCTATATAGTTTCCAGGAAAATGGCAGCAAAGACTATTTTCAATATCTGGCATGTCAAGTAAAATAACTTGACTCGAGAATCCCTTGGGTAAGCCACTCGTCATCCTATCTCCTTCTCTCTGGTGGTACTCTTCTTTTCAGGATGGCTCTCTGCCTCCACTCACTCTGGTTCAAAAGCTTCTATGCTCACTCTTTCGGAGATGAGGGAAGGAGAGATGGAGGGAACCAGGGGCTGACTCATTCAGAATCCATTTTCATAAATGTGAACCTTTTTGCAGTGAAATAAATTTCCCACCTATGGTATCTCCGCATCTCATTCGGCATCCGCCATCTCTTGATTATCACTGTGGGTTGTAATGTACACTCTATTAAATGGGCAATAAACACAGCAAGGGTTATTGCCACACATAATAGCTAACAGAGATCGTATCTTTTTTCCTATTTCAGAGCCTTCCACACCTTTCTCCTGACACCCTTCCTATCTCCCTACTAAAAAAGAAAAGCCGAAATATGCCCTGATCTGTGGCATACAGTCTTTTCATTCATTCAACAAACCGAGCACTTCATCACGGCCCCCTAGACATGCTTTGCTCTCAGCGTCTCCATCTCAGAGAAAGCATCTCCATCCATCTGACTGCTCAAACCAGAAACCTAGGAGTGATCCTTGGCTCTGCTCTCTCCTTCACTGCTCCCTTCTAATCCATCACAAAACCCAAACCCACCTCGTGAATGTGTGTCAATCCATTTCCACTGCCACTACCCTAGTCCAAACTGGCAGTCTTTCTCAGGCTACAACAGTAGTCTCATAATGGGTCCCTCTTTCCTCTTTGATTTTCTATCCCTCTCCCAAAATACATTCTCCAGGCAGTAACCAGAATGATCTTTTTAAAAAACAAATCTGATTGTGACACTTTCCTATTCTTAAAACCATTCAGCGGGTGCTAAGTGTTTTTCATTATTTCCTCGTTTCCTCAAATCTCCTTTTTGCTAGTGAAACATCTCTAACACATTCATGTTTCCACCCTTGCCCCATGCTTTCTAGTCCTCTCACCATTCTACTTGACTTCTCCCAGGTAACATCCAGGTTGTGTTTCTTTGGCCTGAAACAGGGTTATTCTTTGCTCCAAATCATATCTGACCTCATACATATGCAGAATGGGTGGATGACTAGATGGTGATATTTGAAGGATTCCTGTCCTAAAATATCTCCCCCACTCCAAATTAGACCACATCACTTCCCTGCTTGAGACTCTCTTCTGCCCTCCCCTCCCATAGCCTCTAGGAAAATGGCCCAACTTATTAAGATCATGCACAAAATCCTCATTATCTGGATATCTGCACATCCTTCTGGCTTCATCTCTTGCTGTGATTTCCCCCATACACACATGCTTGATTCATCTTTCTTGCATTTAATACTTGAGCAGTCTTATCTGTTATCACCACCATCCCTACCACCTCCACCACCTTCACCACCCCCACCTCCACCCCCATCTCCACCACTACCTCCGCCCCCACCACCATTACTACCACCATCTCCACCATTTCCGCTCCCAACTCCATCCCCCACCACCTCCACTGCTTCCATCCTTAATATCATTATCACTTCCATCACCCCAATCCCCAGTATCAGCAACTATCTCCATACTACTGCCACCATCATTTCCCCCCACTGTTACCACCAGTGGATATTTACCTAGTGTTTACTCTGCTATAGGCACTCTGCTAAGCCTCTCTATATTTTGTCACATATCTGGGTTTGAACTAAGGCACTGTGACTCCAGAATCCAGACTCTTAAGTATTATTCCCTTTTTCTATCACTTGGAGCTCTCTGAATGTTCTAGGCCGCCTTATCCCTGTGCCCATGGAATATCACAGACTTATAAAATGACGCTTTTCAAAAAACATGCAATAATATCAAATAATGGTGTTTTCAAAAAGTTAGGCTATTGAGAAGTCATAAATATAATCCCAATATTTTGTTACATTTACATGGAAAAAAATTCTTAAAGAAAATGCAACAGAAAGTTGAGAATGATTTATTTGGGTGGCATAAATATGGGTAATTCTAATTTTCATCTTGAGTTTTAAAAAATATAGTTTAAATTTAGGTAATGAATATATATTATGTATAAGAACAGAAAAAAAAACTGGTGTGATTGAAAGATGTGGAAAGTATAGAAATATATTCTTCCAAAGTGTTGCAAAGAAAAAAATCCCTCTTCTGTGTCCCATAATGGGTTCATAAAAGAAATATAATATGATTTGGTGAAAAGAGCATGGGTGTTGGAGTCTCAATAGCTGACTGTGGCTCTGCCATTAACCAACCATACCACTTCAGACCAAACACTTCATCTCTCTGTGTCTCAGGCTTCTCATTCAAAGAATGAGACAAACTGGCTCATTGCAGAGACTTACTTAGGTAAACATAACTTATTTATTTTCTTTCTTCCTTTTTTTTTTTTTTCTTTTTTTTGAGGCAGGGTCTCTCTCTGTCACCCAGGCTAGAGTGCAGTGGCACAATCATGGCTCACTGTAGCTTTGAGGTCCTGGGCTCAAGCAATTCTCCTGCCTCAACCTCCCAAGTAGCTGGGACTATAGGAGCATGCTAACATGCTCAGCTAATGTATTTATTTATTTATTGTAAAGATGGGGTCTCACTATGTTGTTCAGGCTGTTCTCAAACTCCTAGCTTCATGTGATCCTCCCATCTAGGCCTCCCAAAGTTGTAGGATTACACGCATGAGCCACTGCACCCAGCCAAATTCTTTCTCTTAAGCCCCAGCCCTTCTTTTCAAGATTGTCTGGAGGATTTCTCTAGTAATTCCCCTAAATGCAAACCAAGCACTAGAAACCTTAGGCCTAGAAAATGAATCGGTTAAAAAAATAAATAAATAACCACCCATCTAAGTGAGTGACTCAGGCCTCAGACTCCTGCTCCATCCTTTAAAAAATGGAAATGAAACCCAGCATTTCACTAAGTGACTTTGACAGTTCTCAGCCATGATGCCAGGGAAAGAGTTCATTGTCTGTGCCAACATTCCTGATGACATGAAGTGCCCCAGATCTCTCCTATTCTTCTCTGATTTTTCACCTCCATTGATGGATACTTGGAACAACTGTATTTATAATTAGTATTTTTTGTCATTTAAAGTTCACCAGATTTGTAGTCAATTATTGGCTAAAAAACATTTATTATTTGCAATATATTATTAGTTTATTATGGCTCATTGCCCTAAAATACTTCGTTTAATCCTTTGCAGGTCCTTAAACACAAATATGGCAGCTATTAGCAACCTCTTCAGTCAGGCATAAAATTGTACCCAGAGGCCTCATAAACAATACAGTGCTTTGCAAAGATTAAATCAGTGTACACAGCTGTGAAGGAGGCCATTAGGAAATGCATTATCATTCTGTTTTACTGTTACTTTGTGTGCTACTCTGCTCTTGTCAATCCATCAGCTAGCCCTGCCTCTGCCCTGTAAGTGGAAAAGGTTTTGCATTTTACCAGGCAAGAGACAGCCACTGGGAAAAGTAAGATCCCAGCCTTTCTGTGTAAGGTTAAGGGGACTTGGGTGTCATTGTGCAGGGTGAGCTTGGAAAAAGTCAGTGTCACAGTGCTTACCTCTTTCAATAAGAGACAGGCATGGAGGGAGCCTTCCATGTGACAAGACTTCCTGGAAGAGGCTAATTTCATATAAAATTGTTTTATTGTTGGCCTTTGAGTCTTTATTCAAAATTCTGCCTCCAGAAAGAGGAGAAATAGGAGACTGTTATTGATAAAACACCTGTTATGCCATGGGCTTTCTCTGATAGGCATTTATTTAGTCAACAGGATGCATTTTGTGGGTGATGCTGAAGCCACATAGAAATGTTAGAAGGGAGCTCAGTGTCTGGTGGGAGAGGTAAACAATTAAGGTATATCTAATACTATGTAATCAGTGTAAGGCTTCCTAGCAGAAGGAATATCTGAGCTAAAGCTAAAAGGATATAGAAAAAGTATAAGCAACAAGAGCTATGGGGAGTCATGGAGATGGGACAGAGTGTATTCCAGACTGTGAGATCAGCATATCCAAAGGCATAGAAGTGTGAAAAAAGAGGGTACTGATGCTCCTGA
The DNA here is from genome assembly GCF_000001405.40 of Homo sapiens. NCBI lineage: Eukaryota > Metazoa > Chordata > Mammalia > Primates > Hominidae > Homo > Homo sapiens. The sequence goes on from NC_000001.11 coordinate 57,840,436, forward strand.
ACTTAGGATATATGTTGAAAATATAATAAGTCAAAAATGCATTTAATATATCTAACCAGGGTATTAGTCAATTTTCACACTGCCATAAAGAACTACTTGAGACTGGGTAATTTATGAAAAAAAAAGAAGTTTAATTGACTCACAGTTCCACATGGCTGGGAAGGCCTCAGAAAACTTATAATCATGGTGGAAGGCAGAGGGGAAGCAAGAACCTTCTTAACATGGCAGCAGGAGAGAGAGTGAGCAAGGGGGGCAAGTGCCACACTTTAAAACCATCAGATCTCATGAGAACTCACTATCATGTGAATAGCATGGGGAAAATCCACCCCCATGATCCAATCACCTCCCACCAGGTCCCTCCCTCCACACATGAAATTACAGTTCAAGATGATTTTTGGGTGGGGACACAGAACCAAACCATATCATTCCACCCTGGCCCCTCCTAAATCTCATGTCCTTCTCACATTTAAAAACCAATCATGCCTTCCCAACAGTCCCTCAAAGTCTTAACTCATTCCAGCATTAACTCAAAAGTCCAAGTCCAAAGTCTCATCTGAGACAAGGCAAGTTCCTTCTGCCTATGAGCCTGTAAAATCAAAAGCAAGTTAGTTACTTCCAAGATACAATGGGGGTACAGGAATTGGGTAGATGGGAGAAACTGGCCAAAACAAATGGGCTACAGGCCCCATGCAAGTCCAAAACCCAACAGGGTAGTCATTAAATCTTAAAGGTCCAAAATAATCTCCTTTGACCCCATGTCTCACATCCAAGACACACTGATGCAAGAAGTAGGTTCCCATGGCCTTGGACACCTCTGCCTCTGTGACTCTGCAGGGTCAACTCCTGCAGCTGCTTTCATGGGCTGGCATTGAGTGCCTGTGGCTTTTCCATATGCATAGTAAAAGCTGTTGGTGGATCTACCAGTCTGGGGTCTGGAGGATGATGGCCGTCTTCTCACAGCTCCACTAGGCAGTGCCCCAGTGAGGACTCTGTGTGGTGCTCCAATCCCACATTTCCCCTCTGCATTACCCTAGTAGAAGTTCTTCATGAGGGCTCCACCCCTGCAGCAGACTTCTGCCTGGACATCTTGAGGCAAAGGCTCCTAAAGCTCAACTCTTGTCTTCTGCACACCTGCAGGCCTAACACCACATGGAAGCCACCAAGGCTTGGGGCTTGCACCCTCTGAATCAATGGCCTGAGCTGTACCTTGGCCCCTTTTAGCCACAGCTGGAGCTGGAGTGGCTGGAATGCAGGGTGCCACATCTCGAGGCTGCATGGAGCAGCGGAGCCCTGGGCCTGGTCCCCAAAACCATTTTTCCCTCCTAGGCCTCTGGGTTTGTGATGTGAGGGGATGCTGTGAAGATCTCTGAAATGGGGCTGCTGTGAAGATCTCTGAAATGCCTTGGTGGCATTTTCCTCATTGTCTTGGCAATTAACATTTGGCTCCTTGTTACTTATGTAAATTTCTGCAGGCAGCTTGAATTTCTCCCTAGAAAATGGGTTTTTCTTTTCTACTGCATGGTCAGGCTAGAAATTTTCCAAACCTTTATGCTCTGCTTCCTTTTTAAACGTAAGTTCCAATTTTGGACCAATTCTTTGTGAACACATATGGGTGTGTGCTGTTAAGAGCACCTAAGCTACATCTTGAACACTTTGCTGCTTAGCAATTTCTTCCACCAGATACCCTAAATCATCTCTCTCAAGTTCAAAGTTCCATAGAGCTCTAGGGCAGGGAAAAATGCTGCAAGTCTGTTTGCTAATGCATAGCAAGAGTTATCTTTACTCCAGTTCCCAGTAAGTTCTTCATCTCCATCTAAAACCACCTCAGCCTGGACTTCATTATCCATACCACTATCAGCATTTTGGTCAAAACCAATCAACGAGTCTCTAGGAAGTTCCAAACATTCCCATATCTTCCTCTCTTTGAGCCCTCCAAACTGTTGCAACCTCTGTCCGTTACCTAGTTCAAAAGTCACTTCCACATTTTCAAGTATCTTTATAGCAATGCCCCACTTCTCTCAGTACCAATTTTCTATACTAGTCCATTTTTACACTGCTACAAAGAAACTACCTGAGACTGGGTAATTTATGAATGAAAAAAAAAGTCTAATTGGCTCACAGTTCTGAATGGCTGGGGAGGCCTCAGGAAACTTACAATCATGGCAGAAGGCAAAGGTAAGGCAAGAACCTTCTTCACATGGTGGCAGGAAAGAGGGCAAGCAAGGGGGGGATGTGCCATACTTTAAAACCATCAGATCTTGTTAGAACTCACTCACTGTCATAAGAACAGCATGGGAGAAATCCACTGGCATGATCCAATCACCTCCCACCAGGTCCTTTCCTCCACATGTGAGGATTACAATTCTAGATGAGATTTGGGTGGGGACACAGAGCCAAACCATATCACTTAGTGTACCTTAAGTGTGCTCAGAACATTTATATTAGTGTACAGTTGGGCAAAATCCTCTAACTCAAAGTCTATTTATAATCAAGTGTTGAATATCTTATGTGATATGTTGAATACAGTATATTATAGAGCACAGTATGGGTTGTCTGTCCTAGTGACTGCCTGGTTGACTGGGAGCTGCAGCTCACTGCCACTGCCCAGCATCATAAGAGAGTATCATACCACATATCACTAGAATGAAAAAAGATAAACATTTAAAACTCAAAGTGTGGTTTCTACTGAATGTGTATCACTTTTGCACCATCATAAAGTCTAAAAATCATAAGTTGAACCCTGTAAGTCAGGGACCATTCACATCTTATTTCACCAAGTCCTCCCAGCATCCATTTACAGAATAAAAGGTTTTTTCTTTTGTCTACCCTTGACTGTGTGCACCTTGCATGGTTCTTTGAAGGCAAACATAACACAATAGCAAGAATGTAGGTTTTAGATTTATGCTCAGTCAAGTTTGAATTCTTCTTTGGTTATTATCTAGTTGGGTGATTCTGGACAAGTCACTTCTCTGAGCTTCAGTTTCCTATCTGCAAAATGGGACTAATGATACCCACCTCAAGGGGTTACCATGAGACTTATGGGAAATAACATATCAAAAGCACCTGCTATATTATCTGGTCACAGAGTAGGGATTCAATATTTGCTGGTTTCCTTCCTTCTATTCTTAGACATCAGCCAAAATTTGTCTTTTCCAGGAAGCCTTCCCAGATTCACCAATTTAGAAGTTACCTAAGGTTAGGGACATATCCTATGTTGAAATTTTCCCAAAAAACTTTGAATACAGAAGGCTTTGGAGAAATACCAGCTGAAATGAATTACCCTGGCTTTCCCCCATGCACAGCTAGGAGCTTCCCCTATGTACCTTCAGGCTCTTTTCCTCCAACAGCTGCACACCTGGGCTCTGGGATCTCTTTTCCTTTGCTTTCTCTTAGAAGGCTGTAGGAAGAAACAAGCAGGAACAGCAATACTTGACCTCTTTGGAAACATTTGCTCAGGATGTGGTATATAGAAAGAAGCAAGAATTTGACCAGGTTTGACCCATTCTGGAAGTTCTCTAGCCTAATGACTCACTGTAAAATCTGTGCCTGATGTTCCAGCCACAATTACTTTCTGGCTGTTCCCTGAACACACTATCTCTTTTCAATCTTACATAACTTGGCATTTGCCATGCCATATTCCAGGAATGGTCCTGACTTTGTCTACCACAGTAAAACTCCTCATCCCTTAAGACCCAAAATCTTCTTTTGTAATTCCTGCAGGGAGGATTACTCAGCCTACCTGATATCCCTCAGACCAGCATTCATACTTTTATGTTATTTCTAACACACTGAAATAACGGATTCATGTATCTGTTTCCCTTAGTATATTATGATGGGTTGCAGGACAGCAGCCCTGCTTTTTCCTCTTTTTATTATCAGTATTTAGAATAAAGTATGATGTATAGTAAACCTATATGCATGAATGAATATGAATCTTATCCAGAAGAATTCCTTTAAGAGACTCAGACATATTGAGACCAGCAAGGCATTTGGCAGGGGCTGCAGTGTAAATGGCAGCTGCCTCAAGAAGAAATCATTACAGAATTTTCTAACCCCTTCCTTTCTGAAGATTGGGTCCAGAGAAGCAGGAAGACGTCTGCCAGAGTGATTCACAATGGGTTTTCCCTCAGTTCTGCCCACCATATCACTTATCCCATATTCCCATATGAGCTGGTTATTTTCTCTCTGGTACCTTCTCTGCCCTGCTCTAAGTTCTACGGACAGCTTCATGGGGCTCCATTGCATTCTTGTTCCTGGCTGGGTTCTGTCAAAGGGAAGCTCAGAGAGGTCAAGGGACAGGAAGAGAGAGATACTGGGGCCCTTCTTTACTCCCTTCCTGACTTAGTGCCCCTTCTTCAGGCTGTATACATCTAGGAATGTAGGTCCCTGGCAGCCCTTCCTTCATAGCTCTGACTCCCACCTGCCCAGGTAACAGTTACCCATCCCCTCCACCCCCGCCAGCTCCTTCAGCCTTGGAAATGGCAATAGCTTCCCACTATTGACAGCCTTGGGTGCTTTACCACCCCTTACTTGATGCTTCAACCCTGTTTAGAGTTAGGGGTACTTTCATTAAAGTAACTTCCCAGAACCATCTGAGATTAATTCTGCTTCCTGACAGGGCCCTGGTTGGTATATCTTCCCATAGATAGCATCAGGCAAGAGCTACTCTTCTCTTCCCAGTCTCATTCATGATATGGCCCTTAGAAAACCTCTAAGTTAAATCTGAATGAGGAATCCACTTACATGTGAGGCTGTGCGAGGGAGGAAGTGTCCCTGTGATGAGCAATGCTTTGGAGAAGTGGTCTGACAACATTCACAATCTGATGATTAAACTGTGAAGTGTTTAATTTTGTACTGCATGTTGGGGCTGGTTTGGGGGTTGGCAGGGATAGGATAGAGAGACAGGAGGGAGGTAAAGGAGAAAGAATTATGGGGAAAAAGTGAACTGATGGATTTTTCAGTCTTGTATCCAATTTCTGGTAGTCTTGCAGATATGATCCTCTAACTGTTGTGGTAGACAGCACAGTCAAGTGGAAAGAGAATGAATTCTCCATAAAATAGAGATTTGCGTTTAAGCCAGACTAGGTCACATCCTAGCTATTGTTCAGCTTGGGCAAGTGACAACCTTTTGGAAACTCAGTTTTTGATATCTGTATAATGGGGGATAATAAGCTTCCTTATACATTAAAGAAAAGTACACGACATTAAAGAATGTGAGAGACCCTGCCACAGTGTCCCAGACAGAGGAAGAGCCCTATAAAAGGTCATTCTCTCTTCTCTGATTCTGATTGATGAATATATGTCAAATGATTAAATGAATAAATCCTCTTTCAAAAACCCTTTTGATATATCTTAAGTTGAGCTAAAATCTGCCTTCCTATAACTTTTACCCATTGTACTTAGCCCTGCCATCTAAAGCCAAACACAGTAAATCAACTCACCCTTCTAAATGAAAACCCTTCAAATATTCCTGTTTAATAAATGGAATAAATACACTCCACTTTAATAAATTTGCCCTAGGCCCATGGGCCTTTGCAAGGAAGGCCAATATAAATGAAGATGCTGTCTGCACACGAAATGCTTTGTGGATCACATGACTGCCACTCTGCCCCAGAGACAGAGGGAAGAGTGTGGGGGAGGGTTATTGAAAATGAGCCGGTAGTAGTGGTCAGAAATATAAGCTTTAGTCTTCCTAAAGCAAATCATTTCAGAACTTGGTTTTTTTAATTAAAAATTCAATGTGGCCAGGCATGGTGGCTCAAGCCTGTAATCCCAGCACTTTGGGAGGCCGAGGTGGGCAGATCACGAGGTCAGGAGATCGAGACCATCCTGGCTAACATGGTGAAACCCCATCTCACTAAAAATACAAAAAATTAGCTGAGCGTGGTGGCAGGCACCTGTAGTCCCATGTACTCAGGAGGCTGAGGCAGGAGAATGGTGTGAACCCGGGAGGCAGAGCTTGCAGTAAGCCGAGATTGTGCCACTGCACTCCAGCCTGGGCGACAGAGCAAGACTCCATCAAAAAAAAAAAAAAAAAAAAATCAATGCTTCCTCTCCTCCCTCCTGTATTTCTTCCCTCCTTTGTTCACTTATTAAAAATACATTGAAAGCCTACTCTGTGCTGTTTACTCTGCTAAGGTCTTTCCATGTTGATTTCATTATTTTATTCAGTCCTTACTCTGAGGGAGACACATTACTGTTCCCATTGTACCAATGAGAAAACTTTGATTTCATGTCAGTTTTTTTTTCCAGGGCATCTAGAACTACAAGTAACAAAACTGGAACTCAAAGCCAGTCAGGTTTGTCCAGTGAGTTCTACTGCATAATTCTATCTATGGAAGAATGGCACAGTAAGAGAACGAAACACATACACGTGCACGTGCGTGCACACACACACACAGACACGCAAACAATCTGCATTAGGTCCTGAAGAGTTTTTCCAGGCAAAAAGGAGACAGTCTGGACCACAATATGGAGATGCCTACTTAAGAATCTGTCTGGTTTGGGAAATGGTTGGTAGTGTGACATGCCTGAAGCACATGGTACTTAACTAAGTCTTGTAGGAGATGGGGCTAGATAAGCAGACTGGGACCCACTTGTGAAGCACAGAAATATGATGCAGAGCTGCAGAGCTTGGGCTTTATACAGCTGTGATAAGGTGGCTCAGGGAACAGCCATCACTATTCCTCTGAGGTTTAAGACCGATTTTATTGACTTCCATGCTCAGTGGCCTGGCTGCCTACCTACCATTACACTTCTGTCACTATATAAGCTCAGGGATGATTTTTTTAGTTCTACCCAGGACTAGCTAAAAACAGACATTCAGCTTTTAAATCACAGGAGGAAAAAAAAAAACTACAAAGATAAGATAGCCTAGATAGAAGAAAAAAAAGGAAAACAAAGGAAGTCCCAAGAAAGCATAAAGAAGAGAAAGCATAAAACAAAAAGACAGGAATAAGACCAAACATATCAGTTATGACAGTAAATATAAATGGTTTAAGTTCTTCTAATAAAAAATAAAGTCTTTCAGATTGGGTTAAAAGCAAAACTCAACCATATGCTGCTTACAAAAGACAAACGGTAAAAGAAAAATGAGAGAGAAAAGGGGAATTGGTGAAAGCTAGGCAAATATTTATCAAGTATACAAAACAAACAAAAAGAAAGCAGTGATTGGGAACATTTCAAAGTAGAATTCAGGGTAAAAGCATTATATGAGACCAAGAAGGTTATTTTTATATTGATAGAAACAATAAGAAATGAGCTGTTACATAATGTCAAAATATATAAAGAAAAACTCTTAGAAATGTAAAGAGATCATGATAGAAATAACCTTCTTGATATTGAATGAACAATAAAAAGACAAAAATAGAATACTATTATTAGTAAGTTATGTATATATCTTTTAAAAATTACTAAAAGCTATATTAATTGAGTGCTTACAATGCTCCAGGCATTGTTCTAAATATTTACTATTGCCTCATTTAATGTTGGAGAAAGGCTATTACAAAGTAGGAGATTATTATCCCTGTATTAAAGATAAGAAAACTGAAGAACAAGGAGGCTAACTGATTTTCCTGAGATTTTAAAACAGTTGCACTGTCACTGTAAGAGTAAGCCTGGTTTGAAACTAAGGCAGGGATCCCCAGAGCCTGCCCCTTTCAAGTATTATGTTAAACAACCTTAAAGAAAGAATGCATATCCTTTCAAGACATGTATTCTAAAACATTGACCATCCAAAGTGATCATATAGGATACAAAGAAAACTTCAAAAGAACCAGAATAGACAAAAGGTGTAGTCTATAAGTTCCGAACACAATGTAGTGAATCTAGACACTAATGATATCTAAACCTAACCAAGATAGCACACATGTGCACATGCACACTCATGAACACACACCATGTAAACCAATCATAAAAATGAGATACTACAATTCTAAATCAAATATATGAAAACCTATTTTATCCTTTATTTAAAGAATTATCATGATCAACTGGGATTTATCCTGGACTACACAGGTAAATATAGTAATGTAATATAATACTTATCAGTAACTCAAAGGAGAAAACCACTTGGACATCTTGATGGATCACTTCTACTGAGTCACAGCCTTGTGAAGTTGGGGACAGGGATGGTTGTGTTAAGAAGAGGTCTAGGCCAGACAGAAGTAGCTGTTATATCACATGAGTTACCAAGAGCAATGACTCAAACACAAGCAATGATGCAGAAGTGATCAGGAATGTCCAAGCCAAACCAGGAGCAAAATAACCTAAGGTTGAAGAAACCTAAGTTGATTCTGAACTGCCCCAAATCCAGGTTAGTCTAGAGCTGGAGCTGAAGCTGCATGTGGTGGTCATGGGCAGGAGGGTGGTAGGTGAGTGTTTAGTAATGGGGAGCAGCTACATGATTCCTATTTTTCAAAGGGGGTGCTGATGAGATTAGACACTTAACAGGGCCTGGAATTCCCGTCACTCCAGGATGTAATCCTCACATCTGAAAGAAGAAAATGCTACATCAAGATTGAAGGTCATGTCTTACGATATTTGTGGAAAGGTAAATATTATTTCAAGGGAATTTTTAAAACAAGTCTTCTGTTTCTGTAATATTCCAAGTGTGGGCTGCTGTTCTCTTGAAAATGTGCCTCTCTTGCAGCTGAAACTTGGGACAGGATGCTTGAGACAGGGGAAATTACATTTCTCCAAGGTGTTCATTCTCTGAAATACCAGCCCTGGAGCACTATGTCCCCAGGAATGTTCACAAAAGGTCAGCAGAAGCACCAGAAGGGCCAGAGTAGCACTGAGTCAGGTATGAGGTCCTCACTGCTACACCAAATGCATGAAGAAGGTGCTGCCCTGTCTGCTCCTTGGCCTCTATCTCTGCCTGCCTTTCTTATTCTCCATCTGGATCTTTCAGCCTCTCCTTATTGCTCACAGTAACTCCATATCAAGACCCTGGTAAATGAAAATACAAACTAGGAAGTGAGAAATCTAACAAAATAAAGCAAAGAGAGAGGCCATTGTCTAATGAAGGCTCTCCAGTCCTTGAGAATTTCAGAATTTCAGATCCAATAGGATCTGGCAGTTGAAGGCGTGATTCACAGAGTCTCAGGATGCAGGAGGCAAGGAGAACTTGAGAAACTTTCCCACTTTTAGAAAAGAAATGATCCTCTCTAGGGACAGGGCTTGAGGCATTAAGGAGCAGGTTGAGACCCAGGTTAATGGACTTCCTAGCCTAGCATGTGCAGCATTTTTAAAACCATGTTTATCTTTCCCAGTTAAAAATAATATATCCTTTGTGGACAGTTTGAAAAATCCCAGCAATGCCCAGAATTAACATCTGAACACATTTTGGCTTTTTTCCTGACAGTAATTTCTTTTCCCTTTGTATAGAGATGTGTATGTATGTGTATGCACATAATTATAAAAATAAAATGGGAAGCATAATTCAAGTTTTGTATCCTGGTTTATTTTTATCATTAGTCCATTGTCACAGATGTGTAAGGGAGAGATTTTATGTGGGAAGTGACCCTCGATAGTCCTGAGAAAGTGAGATACAGACAGCAAGGTTGACATTGGACTCAACAGCTAGGTCTCTGTTGACATAGGTGGGGATACCTGGCTTGGACAGGAAAAAATGGGAGGGGAGGAAGTGGAGACAGTGCCTCTGGACAGTAACTCAAGAAGCTGCTCTGAAGAGAAGGAGAGAACCAGGACAGAGGGGCTGAGGGTCTTACAGCAGAAACCTTTAATGGAAAGAATGTAGGCTTGGAACAAAGCCTTCAGATTTGCACCTCAGCTCAACAATTTACAAATCATAGGACCTCACACAAACATAAGGTAAGGATTAATCAGTACCAAAGTGGCTTAGTGCCTTTCTACCTTCACATTAGATTTGATCTGTACTCTGACCAGTAAAGAAAGCGAGGCTCAGAGATGCAAAGCAATTTGCCCAAGGACACGCTGTAAAAAGGCGCAGAGGTGAGATTTAATTTCAGGATTGTGTAACTTCAGATAATGTAGTTTTTTTTTTTTTTTTAACTGAGAAAATGAAACCATTTATTATATAACTTGATAGCTTACATAATTAGTGCCTAAGAAATAAAATACAAGACACACCTCATAGGGGAAATCCTTTACTCCTGATCATTAGTCGCTGTGGCTCCCCTCCCATGTCCTGTGGAGTGGCCTGTGGGCTCTGGAGGGAGCCCCAAGGCCTGGCCTGCAAGTGCCGGGCTGGACCCCTTCCATCTTATGTGACGGCACATTCAATGTGATACACTCTGACACTCAAATGCCTGCCTCCCCCTCTGTATCTCACATAATCTTGCCTTCCAACATCATTTTTTTCCCATTTGACTGAGTGGTCTGACCTAAAACAGCTGTGCGTGACTTGAAATTTAAGCATTCCTCTTTCAACTCTCTGATAAGAATCTTTCCCCTTTAATAATGCTCTCAGTGGCTCCTCGCCCATTCCTTTTCATTTCTGCTAGGTGCTTTTAAGTTCAGTTTTCCTTCCACCCCCTGCAAGCCCCCCAAGGCTTAGCTTCAGAGACAAGGCTCTCTCAAGACCCAATCAATTCCAACATTCAGTTAAGCTAATTAATTTCAGGTTGCCATCAATATATTTCTTAATTATGGTTTAAACATAGGTAAAACCTAGAATTGTTCGTCAACAGCCCTCAGCCTCAGCTGAATGCTAGCATCTACCATTAAGAATTCCCATGGGTCAAATCGAGGGTCTGACAATAGTTACAAAGACCACATGTGTATTTGCATAGGATTTGCATATATCTACATAGGTTAGTCTCTTTGCAGTAGATTTCCAATTAAAATGTTATTATTTTGGCCTTGAAGTTGTTGTTTCCTGATTCTTGGTCTGTAGTACCATTAGCAACACCTGTTCACTTTGACGTTGATTTCTGCCTAGAGGACAATAGGACAATGAAGACAAAGGACACAAACCAGCAGTGAAAGCCCCAAATACTAGAGCACACTAGAGCACACCTCTGAGGTGGGCTGATTCTAGCAGTTGAGAGGTTTTGTCTGGCGGAGAGAAGACCTCAGGCTATCTGAGGAGTCTTGGCATAGCTGCAGGGCTGCTGAGCAGAAGAGTACTGGGATTGTACTGGATGGCTGGGCGGGTTTCCACATCTCCTTCCCTACTCCCCTCTGCCTTTGCTCCTGCAAGAAGCATTTCTATTCTTCCTATGTGACATTTTGCCTGCAAAACATAGATATTAGAAGAGTCTTTCTGAAGATCTGGGCATTTCATTCTCTGGCTTCTGATGTTCTCCCAGTGCTGGTGGTGTGAAAGCTCCAATCCCTCATGACATGCAAGTTCCTTCATGACAGTAGCTTATGTTTCTCTGGTTGTATCTCTTGATTTCACTTTGCATCCTAGGTTCCTGCTCCCTTTGGCCATCAGAATGCATTTTGCCCTGTCATTCACAAATGGCTAACTCCTATGTTGTCTCCTACTCTGAGGAGTCTTTCCTAATTGCCTCTCCCCACCTCTTTGCTCCCTTGGGGCTTAGAACACAATACCCCAAAGCATAGTGCCTTGGCGTGCTGAGCACTTCAAACTGAAGGAGACTGAGGGGGTCTCAGGCACAAGGTCCTTCTGACCTTCCCTGGCCCTCCTGTCCCTTCCTCTTCTTTCTCCCCTGAGATGGGTCACATAAATTAGAATTTCTCTCCCAAAGCATGAAACCTAGAAGGGTCATTCCCTAACCTTTTCCCTTTTCCCCTGAAGATCCTCATGTGATAGGTGTCCTGCCCTGTTCCCTGGGGGAAAGGAATGCCACACAGAGAGGCCAAGAAGAACTTGGACAAACAGGCCTTGCTTGGTTCTCCCTCAGTTTATTAACATTTTTCATACCCTTTTTTGTCCAGGCACATTTTTACATGACTGTCTATTCTTCATAGCACCTAAGTATGAAAGTACAAAAGCTTTCCTACATTCTAAACACTCATCTGTATTTCCACAGCTCCACATATTTCTCACCTTCCTCTGCTGGGAAAATTCAGGAGGAATCCTAGGAGCTCTGGGATGCAGAGAGAACCATCCGTGGTGAATGCCCACATCACCACTGGCAGAAGAACAGAGATGGCCAACCATGGACCTCACTTCTACCCTCCTCATCACCCCACATCTCACCACTGCCATCTTGCTTGAGGCCCTCAGGAATAATGTGACACACATTGATAAGCCCAGGAATCCAGGTCAACCCTCAGTCCCAGATTTTAATCACTACATGGCTCTATGGGCAATGAGGTAACCCTACCTCTCCTCCTGCCCCAGCATCCATCCCTGCTTTATGTTTCTCATTTACATTTATTATTATCTGTCACACTTACACTTATTATTTATTTTTCTATCATTCTATCTCCCTCCTGCAGAATGGAAACTCTATGAGGGTAGAGAATACTGACTGTTTTGTTTGTGACAGCAGTATCCTCAGGGACCTAGAAAGGTGATTGACACATAATTTGTGCTCAATAGATATCTGTTGAATGAGTGAATTCTAATATTTTCTACACTATACTAAGTGTGATAATTAACTGTTGGAGGGCTGGGACCACAGTTTATCCTTTTTTTGTCAAATATAGTTAAAAATGTATAATTAATTATAATGTTTTTGTCACATAGGGTTAAAAATAACATATAATTAATTACAATCTGTTTCTTCCCACCCATTCTAAGAAGGGCAGGCCATGAGGAAGAACTTCTGTGTGGTTAGGATGATGCATTAAGTAGAAGCTTAGAAAAGGGTTATTAGATCAAAATACATAAGAAAGGGTTTGGGGCTATCTTTAAAAAAAAAAAAAGCCATTTGGGAGAAGAATGAACAGGGAAAGAAAGGTAGAGAACCAGGTGGCTAACAGGAGAAGGTAGTTAGCTAAGTTGGTGATATACTGAAGAGGTCCAAGAGGCTCAATATTTGGAAATCACATTTTAAGAAATTTTTGCTGTATATTTTGTGATGTGATTCTCCCTTTCCTCAAGAAAACCTTCAGTATAAATCTACATTGATCTTCAGTGATTGACACCATAAGAAGAAATGCATTTAAAATGAAAAAGAAAGGTATATGGTAAGAGTGAAGCTTTAGGCAGGACCCAGAATCGATGCTCAACATGTGTTTAAAATTAATAAAATGAACGAATAAATGAATTAATGAATAAGTGAACTAAAATCAATGGATCAATTTTGTCTCAATATGAAACATTTCTTAAAGTTCCAAATTGTCCAGAACTAGAATGAGTTGTTCCCTTTACTGATTTTTTTCCCCAAGAAGCAACAAGATAATAACCTCATCAAAAATCCTGTAGAAAAAAATATGTCTGCAACAGGAATGGTGTTGGGCCAGATGAATGGTACCCAGACTGTGTTACAAGAGGTGAGAAGGTTCTGGTTGTCACATTTCAAAGTTTATTTTCTGGGTTGAGGGAGGGCCCAGAATACAGGCTTCTGAGACCTCCGCATCTGTTTTTACCAGAGCAGCTCTGTTTTTGCTTGTATTACACATCTATTCATTCATTATTTCATTTATTTATTAATTCATCATTCAACACATATATAGAGTAAATATTAAATGCCTCTATGCTGCAAATACTGCACTGTTTCTACAAAAATAGACTGTTCTTTTGAAGTAGTTTTTAAGTTAAAAAAATTTAAATGATACTGGAACTCTTAAGACTTTAAGACTGTGACACTTCCACAAATTGAGTAAATAATTATTACTCAGTGTACTACTGTGTCTAAAAATTAAGGGTAATTACACTTTCTTGACTTTTTTCTTTTCATTTTAGCTCAGATGAATAAATACTACAGCCTTGCTAAAACAGAAAAACAGTATATTTCAGAATGAATGAGCATGAGAAGAGGAATGGGATGTCTTCAAGGTCTCATTACTGGGCCTATGGGTCTGTTTCTGCAGAAAGGGGGAGTGTGAATGTCACCATTGTGAGAGGAAGAGCCCAACATGGGAAGGGGGTGAGACTTGCATTCATCAAATCTCTAAGTAACACACTTTTTGAATGATCCTCCATTCTAATCTTCATAACAACCCTGAGGAAGATCGTTTACAGATGATAAAACAGAGGGTCCCAGTCAGTAAGCAATTTGTCCAAGATCATGAACACGATAATCTTGGATTTGAGCCCAAGTCTGTGCTGCCAATGCCCTTCTCTTTCCACCACACTTGGGAATAGTCAGATGCTTGCAAGCTGGTGGTCTGGTTGCTTCTCAATCTCTAATATGCAGACTAAACTTGGCACAGGAGTGAATGTGCTGAGCTCCATTAATGGGTGAGAGCAGATTTATGTGTTGGGAGATGTGGGGAAGATTTGGCTAAGGCGGTTATGATGCCAGAGACAGGGAATTTAAAACAAGGACACCCTGAAAAGGGCCTTTTATGTGACTTCTTCATGTGGGTTAATTCTGCTTGAACCTTAGATACAAATCTCCAAAGACAAGAGTAAATGAAAGAAAAATTAATAACTTATCAACTCATTGTAAAATGAAATGGTCACTAGGTTTTCCGTAGTTTTTCTTTTCTTTTCTTTTTAACTCACAGGAATAAATATCCTGGCCTTGCTAACACAGAAGGACAGTGTATTTCAGAATGAATGAGCTTGAGAAAAGGGACAGCAGGAGACTGGATTTTGATTGATTTCTCATCTGAAAGAAAGAAGGCTGTGAGGACATCTATGAGTGCACAGCAACTTCTGCAGGGCTGGAGGAAGCTGAGGGGGAGGGGTGCAGTGAGGTAGTGGTAGCAAGAAGTAACCAATTCTCAACTCAACACATGATGCTTGGTGTTTTCCAAATATGATCTTATTTAATCCTCATTCATTTACTCATTCAAAAAATACTTGTTGAGTGCCCACCCTAGGCCATATCCCCCTGAGGACATAGAAGTGAACAAAGCTGACAACGTCCCTGCCCCCATGGAGCTGGCATTCTAGGTAAGGATCATTTCATACACAAATTAATAAACAACTCTAATAATGGATGGTAAAGATAGATGTGATGAAGAGCACTAAAGAAGGTGAGTTTGTAGAACATAGTGATGGTGCTTTCAGGTTGGGGTATTAGAAAAGCGGTCTTTGATATAGGGACATAGGGACAGAGACTGAAATGAAATGAAGGGTGGGCCATACCAATACCTGGGGGCAAAGAAACAGAGGAAGAGGGAAAAGGTCTTCACATCTGAGGTGGCACATTTGAAGACGAATAAGGGAATCAGTAGCTCAGAGTGAACAAGAAGAAAAGTGGTAGGTGGAAGCCAGACCATGATAGTCTTGTAGGGCCAGCACAGCACTTTGGGTTCCAAGCACAATATGGAGACCACAGGAGGTTGAGAAGGGGAGTGACATGATCTGAGTTAATTTGAAATTATTACTTTGACTGCTCTGGAGAGAACCAACTGCAGGTTGACAAGGGTGAATGAATAGAGACCTAGGAGGCTGCTGAAAAGGTCCCAGGAGGCAAGACGCTAGCTTGAATGAGAGTAGATGGGATGTGAAGAGGGAAGAATCAGAATATATTCTAATGATAGAGTTGGCAGGATTTACTGTCAGATAAATATACGATGTGAAAGAAACATAGGAGTAGAGAATAATTACCAAGACTTGGGTCTGAGCTGCTACTGCCTGGGACTTATCAGCAGAGAGTCGGTATCCACAGCCCTGGGACTGGCTGAGGCCCCTGGAGAGCCTAGAAAAGAGAAGTGTAGCTAGAAAAGAGAAGAAGCTGGGGGGTTGCTTCACAAGAGTCTGAGGAGGTGAGTAAGATCATGCCCGCCTTATAGATTAAGAAAAGTAGCCTCAGAGAAGCAGGATGCTTCTTTTCAGCCACTGTGCCTCTATTAGAGCCCTTACCATGATGGGCTGCAATCCCTGTATAGATCTGCTCCCTAAGAGAGGAAGAGCTATTCAAGGACAACAAGTATGCTGCACACAGCTTTTTATTTCTAGCATCTAGCACTTGATAATAAAAGTAGTTACTGTACATATGAAAAGTTCACATATAAAAAGTGATGATTGTGCCAGGCGCAGTGGCTCACACCTGTAATCCCAGCACTTTGGGAGGCCGAGGCGAGCAGGTCACCTTAGGTCAGGAGTTTGAGACCAGCCTGGCCAACATGATGAAACCACATCTCTACTAAAATTACAAAAAATTAGCTGGGGATGGTGGTGCGCACCTGTAATCTCAGCTACACGGGAGGCTGAGGCACGAGAATCACTTGAACCTGGGAGGTAGAGGCTGCCATGAGCCGAGATCATGCCACTGCACTCTAGCCTGGGCAGCAGAGTGAGCATCCATCTCAAAATAAATAAATAAATAATAAAAATAAATTAAAAGTAATGATTATACCTCTAACAGAAGGGTCTCAATGGGGATGTGTTCAACAGATGGCTGGACCTATGGGGATGTGAATGATACACTCAGGGTCGGAAATTATTAGCACCTAGAACAGAGCCTGGCACATATAAGATGCTCAATAAGTACACTTTCACTGATTAAAAGGATGCTGCCATGATGATCATGACCTGTGCAGATATCTGATGAGATCCCCACTCAGCTGAAACCCAAGCATCTTTGGAAAGTGTTCATTGTATCACTAGTGGTGTCTCTCAGAAATGAGATGATGCAATGAAGGGCTTTGTTCAAGCCAAAGAAGTTGGTAAGAGTATAGAAGAAGTGAGACACCTGGAAGTAAAGTAACTATGTGATACAGTAGTTTGAAATAATGTGAGAGAAACAAAAAAGGCAAGTGGGCATTGTTAGACAAGGAAAAACTCACTTCTCAAAGTGCTGAGAAAAAAGTGCTAGATTGATTTTTAATATGGCAAAAGAAGATTAACCATCAAAAGTGAAAGGAAGTAATCTCTGAATGACTAAATGACACTGGCATCTGGAGAAGATTCTGAAAACAATATACATGTATGAAGAGTAATAGAGTAAGCAGAGATGATGGTAATGATGATGGTGATGATGGGGATGGGGATGATAGCTAAGACTTACAAAGAGCTTTCTGTGTGCCAGACCCTGTTGTAGATACTTTACATGTAATAACTCATTTTATCCTTGTAACAACTCTATGAGACAGGTACTATTATTACCTCTATTTTATAGATGATGAATCTGAGCTATAGACATTAAGCAATTTGTCAATGGTCACACAGTTAGAAAGTTGCCACGAGTGGAAAATATAAGATGGACGTAGGCAGGAGTTATCCATTCAACCATCTACTATTTACTAAGTACTAGCTGTGCATCAGGTACTATGTTAGAGGTTAGGCTTAGGTTTTATAGAGAAATGTTTAAGATGTGACAAAGTTAAGATTGTAGTCAAAATATAAGTATTTTTAAAGTATTGCAGTTTTATCAGTATGGAATCATAGAATGTTCATACAAAAAAAAAAAAAGAAAAAAGAAAAAAAAAAGACCTTAGAAGTAATCTGGTCCAAGGTTCTTATTTTTAAAATTTAAAAAGAAAGAAAAAAAAAAAACAAAACAAAGCCCTGAAGCCTAGAGAGGGGAAGTGACTCACTCACTGACACACAGCTAATAGTGAGAGAACAAGATCAAGATCCTGAGTCTATTAACTCTTAATTATGTCACTTTTCAAAAACCAGGCAGGCCACACAAAATATACTGTGTTACTCAGGAGTTGAATGGGTTCCTTCTGTGGAAGTGTCAAGATCTACCACTGTCTCACCCATTCGATTCTAGTTGACAATTATGTCATTTGGAAGGGTATTTTTTTTAGAATCTAAGAGAACCTTAGTAATTATCTGTTCACCTCCTTATTTAAACTATTGGGAGATTATGGCTCCATATGATAAAATAGCATGCCCTAACTTTCTTGGTAGGTTAAAGAATGTCCATTACCATCATGAATTCAACACCTTCCTCCCTTAATGGCAGGGAAAAGACAACTGTTTGTACAGATGAATGCCACACCACTTTTCTTAGAGCCAGCTTATTGCAAAGTAAGGCACCCATATGTAGTATTGTTCTTAGTCTGCTCTGTGATTTCCCTGAACTCTGTGATGTAGATAGATGATAATTAGTACTCAGATTTAACAGAAAAAAAAAGCCATTATCATTGATATTAATAACAGACACAGAACTCCACCTCCTAACTCTGCCAGGCCAGGTGCTTGTTAGGGGGTGGCTGAGGGAGCCAGCACAGTCAGCAAGCAGGGAAACATCCCCCACCAAAGTTCTGGCTGACAACTGACTGTCTGAATTCATTTCAAACTCTCTCTCTTTGCTTCCAGCAACTCCTTCAAATTGGGCTCCCTGAGGTAAGAAGTCAGTGAGACAATGGCCAAAAGGCATTCTAGATGGGCTGAGATTTTACCTGATTACAAAGAAACTGAAGTTGGGGAAACAGTTCAGTCCACTAACCTGAGGGGTACTTAGTCACATGGGCAACTCTTAAGGGAAATCCCACTCTCTGACATTCAAGAGCTGCGATTCCAAGTATGGAATGCAGACTTGCCATTGGTCAGAACCCTGTGCCCGGAGCATCCCAGCCTCTCCTCTTGCTAAGAACCTATTTTTCCATCAGGCACTTCTGCAGGGGGTTGTCGTTTGAGTCCTGAAGGAGAAAGCTATGGCCTGTATAAACAAAAGCATGAGAACAGAACTTCCCTAAGCAGCCGAGATGGCTTTTCTGGTCTGTACCTTTCAGCTGGGGCTACAAAACCTAAACCTATTTCCTAACCTAGACCCCAAATTATTTGTCTCCATCAATCTGCCTGCTGACTTGTTTCTCATCTCCCTGCCTCTTGACCTTTTGCATTTACTTCCTATTAGTGATTCGTATTTGCTGCTCAGACCAAACATTTGGAACCTTTCCTCTTGTTTGGGCTCCGTATCCCTCTGACTATATGTTATTATTATTGCTCTTATTAATTATTTTTAAATATATATCTTATATTGTAGATAGTCTATGTGCCAGATGCCGTAATAGGCACTTTATATTCACTGAAACCCCCCATATTTTCAACAACCTTGCAAAAATAAATCATAATATGCTCATCTTACAGATGAAAAGGCTGAGGCTTAACAATTCCTCAGAGCTAGAAAGTGGTAGACCAGGAGGACTTGAACCTATCTTTACTTCACTTCAAAATCTGAGAACTTTGCACAATGCTGTCTAATTCTCATTCATCCTTTGGCTCGTTCTACCCTTAATTTTTCCAGACTAACTAGTTTAACTACATTCCCTGAAACATTTTCATCTTTCCTGATAATGGGCTCTCTTGGTATCTGAGATGGAATATATTTCCTGAAATCAACAGAGAGATTGAAGGGAAAAAATAAGCGAGTGAGGAACACATGGACTTCAATGTATCTCAAATATCTCTTGCACCACTGTGAATACCAGGACTATACCTGGATGAAGGTAAAAGCTACTATTAGACAAAGACCTCTAATAAACCTCTCAGTTTTGCTAACTTCCTCTCAAGTGAAAATACTATCGGCAATAGACTTAGGTCACTTCTTGCATTTGTGTTCTGATCTTCAGAGCTTTTTCATATCCCTAATTTCATGTGGGCTCCTGAACAACACTTATTATTGTCCCCATGGTATAGATGAGGAAAATAAACCAAAGAGAGGTTAAGAGACCTCCTTAAGGACACAGTGAATTACTAATACAGGATATGGGTAACTGGATCCTGGTCTTTTGGATGCTTGGGTTTGTGTATTTCACGAATGTAACACATAGAAAAAAAATTGTATTTTCAAGGGAACTAACATATGTTGAATGCCTACTTAGTATGAAAGATTATCCTTTCCATCATATATTACATTTGAGACACTCATATGAAGTAAGTGCTATTACTGTTCTCCATTTCCTGGGTTAGGAAACTGATGCTCAGAGAGTTATGTAACTTGCTCAAGATCACGGTAGTCACTGAGAGTCAGGACTGCATAAGAGTGTGCCTGACTCCAAAGCCATTCTCTTAAGGCTCCCTCATGGCATGCTTTTAGTCTCCATTGTGTCCAAGATGCTTAAGGAATTCCACACAGTGTTTGGAACACAAGGATGAATCCTGATGGCTCCCGCTGGTTGCTAGGTAACGTCTGTTTGGTACAATCTGGTTCACATCATAATGGTTCTTTTGCCAACAGGAGCTGGTAATCAGGATGGCAGTGAGGCAGGCACTTGCTTGCAGAAGAACAGGCCTAGTTTTTTAAGAAGCCACAAAAGTGTCTTTGGATGATTAGGATCTAAGGGGCCAACAGCTTTGCAATAACAGCATAAATATTGTGGGCTGGATGGACAGGCACCAAATGGGGACATTCCATCCTGCTGTGTGATGAGAAAGCTGCCACTTTTGAGGCCTTCCAAAACAAATCAACACTCCATATGCCAGAAGGAAAAGCCCAGGAAAGACCTATTCCAACTGGAGATGGTGAATGTCATTTCTTCAAGAAGCTGAGATCCAGCTGGTACTGCCAGGTGGAGAGTGAGTTGGGTAGCTGACCTCGGGCATGGCAGCCTTGGTTTTTGGCCACTTCATGGGGTGACCTGTTGAGCAAACAGCAGTGGAATTCTGCAGCTGTGGACCAAGATGTAAATACTCGTTCCCACTGACTCAGAGACATGCTACAGCCGAGGGTGGGGGAGGCAAGAGAATATAGGGACACAGGTGTTGGAGAAAAGTTTGTTTCAGCAGCACTCGCCCATAGCTATGAGTAAGCAGGGGCTCACTGGCCACAGAGCACCTGGGCTGTAAGCATGGACTTTACTCAGACGGACCTTGTCTTAGTTTATGGTACTTTCTTGCTTGCTATAACAAAGTACCATAAACTGGATGGCTTACATACAAGAGAAATATATTTCTTACAGTTCAGGAGGCTGGAAGCCTGAGATCAGGGTGCCAGCATGGTCAGATTCTGATGAGGGCCCTCTTCTGGGTTACAGATTGCAGCTAGTTGTCTAGCCTCTTCTTACAAGGGTGCTAATCCCAGTCATGAGGGCTCCACCCTCATGACCTAATTACCTGGCAAAGGCCCTGCCTCTAAATACCATCACACTGGGAATAAGATTTCAACATATGAATTCTACAAGGACAGAAACTTTCAGTCCATTGCCAACCTGCATTCAAGGCCCTCCTTTTCCATGCCATGTACTATTAGGGAAGCTACCTAACACCTCTGAACTCATTTTTCTAATCTATTAAATAGAACTAATATTTACCTCTATCTCAAAGGGTCATTATGATTAAATAATAGAATAGTTTTTAAGTGCTTCACACAATATTATATCATCAATAATTACTAGTATTATATATAACATAGTATATATGTATATTTTATAATATGTATTATAAATACTATAATATATAATATGTATTAAATATGAAGATATGCTATTGTCATTATTATCTCCTACCAAGAACCAAACCATTTTCAGGAATAGGAGAGACATGAGAAGTCCAGTATTTCTCTGAAGGTAGCAATAATCTCTTCTATAACCTGCTCACATGGTTATGCTTTCTCTGCTTAAATGCTCCTTGTGATGGGAAGTTCAGCAACTTCTATGGGTGCCCATTTTATTTCATTAATTGACTACAATGGAAAATAATTCACTAAATTCAAACAATCTGAATCTTTAAGATTTCTACCCTTTGGTCTCACTTCTGTTCCCTAAGATTACAGAATAAAATCAAGCTATTACTTACTGAAATCTTACTATATGCTAAGCACGGGTCTGGGTAATTTATTCACTATTATTCATTCTGACAACAGCCTCATGAAATAGATAGTATTATCTTGATTTTGCACATTGGTAAATTGAGGAAACAAAGTCACCTTTCACAACAACTTCATGAAATAGACAATATTATCTTGATTTTGCAGATTGGTAAATTGAGGAAACAGTCACCTTTCATGTGCTTGGCTATGAAGTATTTAAAGTTAGAGCTTTTCTCATCATTGAACTGAAATTACATAACGTTTTCAATGTTAAAGATTGCTGTGTTCTTGTTTCTAGGAATACGAAGGGAGAATGAAACAAAACTGCTCCGCTTAGGGAACTTGGAAAGGAAATTGAAAAGGCAAGGCACAGGCTGGAAGAAAATATTTGAAAAAGATTTATGTGAACTTCTTTCTGGATTATACAAAATATTTTTAGATATTCTTACAACTCTAAAATAAGATAACTCCTTAAAAATCTAAATTCTACCAAAGGAGAGATAAAGATGACGAATACATTCAAAGATGCTGAAAATCACTTATTTATTATTAGGAAGTTACAAGCTAAAGCATAATGAGATACCACTACAACCTACTAAACTGACTAAAATTAATCAGACTAACCAGGTGTTGGCAAGAAACAGGGACACTGAGACTCTCACACTGCTGGAAGGAATGTAAAATGCTAAAACTTCTTTGGAAATGAGTTCAGTAACTTTTTAAACAGTTGAAAATAGACCTATCATGCAAACCAGCAATCCCACTTCCAGGTATTTATACAAGGAAAATGACAACATATGCCCACATAAAGACTTGTGCACAAATGACCGTAGCAGCTTTGTGATAATTGCTAAAAACTAGAAACTTGTCAAGTGTCCAACAGGTGAGTGGACAAACTCACTATAGTATATCCATACAATTAAGTACTAAATAGCAATAAAAAGGAACTATTAATACATTTGACAATATGGATGTAAATTATAATGCTATGCTGAGATAAAGAACCCAAAGATTTTATACATATGATTCAATTTCTATAAACCGTTAGAAAATGAAAACTAACTGGAGTGGTAGAAAGTAAACCAGTGGTCGCCTGGGTATGGGGGAGGTGTGTATGGGGGATGTGTAAGGGGGGTTAGATTATAAAGGAACATAAGAAAACTTTGGGCTATGATGGATATATTTATGATTTTAAATGTAGTGATGGTTTCACAGGTGTATACCTGTATCAAATCTCATCAAATTATATACTTCAAACATATACAGTTTATTATACATCAAATACGCCAATAGAACTTAAAAGTCTTGGTGGAAAAGTGATCATATAACAAGATGGCCCTGTAGTCCAGTCAAGTTTACTGAGTGATAATTCTCATCTGTAGGCTTTGACAACTTGGGTGGTGTGAAAGTGTGTGTGTTCTAGTGTTGGTAATGAATGCCACAAGGAATGGCTGGGCACTGAGGCCAGGGCCCACCACCCAATCTGGGAAGGCTACGGATCTCATGTCTCAGGAACAGAGGTGTTATGGAAATGTATTAGAAACAAGAGATCTTGGAGGTGGAGTGGGTAGCATTTAAAGAGGAGAAAAAGAATAAAATTTGCACATAAGCTTTGGATTGATGAATGATCCTCTAGGGCATCACCAAAGAAAAAGAAACAACAAGAACTGAAGTTAATATAGGGCCTGGAACATAGCTCACATGTGATACAATCATCATTTATTCCTTTATTCATTCATCAAATGTGTATTGGGCTCCCAATTTATGCCAGAGACTATTCTAGATGCCAGAGATACAGCTCTGAACAAGAGATAAAATCCCTGCTGTCAAAGTGCTCCCATTCTAGTGGAATGAGATAGGACATTAATACATACATGAAAACTCTATAATATCAGGAGGTGATGTGTGCTAGGACGAAAAAGGAGAGCAGAGTAAGGAGTGGGTGGCAAGGCAGGGGCCTATTTGACATTGTCTGTGAAGGCCCTCTGAAGAGCAATTTGAGTAGGAACCTGAGTGAACCAAGCATGTGTCATGTGGATGTTGGGGAAGATGACTCCCTTCTGGAGAAGAAACACAAGGCCTGTTAGGGAATTGGGGGTAATGGTAGGAGTCTAAAGTAAGTCTTTCCATAATGGTGTAGTGATAACAATAACATAACTTCTTCCTCTTATTAAAACTTCTCTATGTACCATGATCTTGACTATGAGCTTTAATGCTTAGAGCAACTCCATAAGATAAGAGCTAGTGTCATTCTCATTTTATAGCTAAGGAAATAGAGACAAACTACATAAGTTGCTGAAAAATCACAGCAAATAATTAGCTGAGGAAGAGACTCAAATCTATCAGAACTGCTTGACTTTTGATCCTGAGCTTATGCGCATCCAGTGGGCAAGTGAGGGTGCATGGGTTTGTGAAGACTCCAGCAGTATGATTGGGGGTAAGTTACTTAACCTCACAGTTATGTGTACTGTATCTAATTTCTTATTTTTTAAAAAAATTTATTTATTTATTTATTTATTTATTTAATTATTTATTTATTTATATTATAGACACAGGGTCTCCCTATGTTGCCCAGGCTGGTATCGAACTCTGTTGCCCAGGCTGGTATTGAACTCCTGCGCTCAAGTGATCCTCCTGCCTCAGCCTCCCAAAATGCTGGGATTACAGGTGTGAACCACTCTACCCAGCCCCTCCTTGCTCATTCGTAATGAAACAACGCTTTGTAAACCGTGAAAGTGCTATATAAAGATATCTTTAAAATACCAAAGAAGTCCCTGTAATTAGATATTCTAATGCTAGCTACTGTAACAAATAAACCTCAGTATGACAGTGGCTTACTCCTGTAGAAGTTTACTTCTTGTTTGCAAATAAATCCCGTACACTTGGAGGTGTGTGCCAAATGGTGATTCAGGGAACCAGGCAGGCTTCTTTCATCTTGTGGCTTGGTCATCACCTAGGGGCTCACAGATGTCTCCTTCCAGGGAGTAGAAATGTAAAAAGAAACCAGAAAAGGCATATCTGCCTCTTCAAAACCTCAGCCTTGGAACAATACATGTCACTTCCATTCACATTTCTTGGCAATAAATAATCATGTGCATGCACTTGGGAAACAAGAGAGGAGCTAGAAAAGGCAGTCCTTGTTGAGACAGCTGCCCCTAGGGACAACTGCACTTTATAGAATGAAGACCACAACTTTTTGGTGGATAATTAGCTATTTCTGGCATAGCCCCTCCCTCTCTTGCTTAAGGTCCATATGATGAAATTTAACACAGCCCACTGGGCCCTAAATATGTTGGTCTCCCTGAGCCACACACCCAACTTCAAATCATGCCATTCTTGGTGTCAATACTCCAGCAACACTGGCCTTTATGTCTCAAACATGGTCTCAAACAGGTTCACTGGGCATGATAAACTCTCCCACCTCTTCATTATTGGCTCTCTCCTCTTCCCCCAAGGCTGCACTTGTCCTTCCTGTTCTAAATGCTCATCATCACCTCACTATCCCCATCTGCTCGCGGCCGTGCTCTCAGGAAATCTCAACACATTTGTAATTATTTGTTCAGTATTTTAAAAGCACAAGCTAGAGTTAGACTGCGTGGATTCAAAGCATAGATCTACTACCTACTGGCTGTATCAACTTGGCCAGGTTATTTAAACTCTCTTATTCTTTATGAGCTGCTACAACAAAATGCCATATACTGGGTGGGTTGTAAACAGCAGAATATTTTTTATAATTCTGGGGTCTGGGAAATCCAAAATTAAGGCGCCAGCAGATTTGGTGTTTCATGATAGCTAGCTTTCTGATTCAAAGATGGTGCCTTCCAGCTGTGTCCTCACATGGTGGAGGGAGCCAGCTAGATCCCTGTGGTCTCTTTCATAGGGGCACTGATCCCATTCATGAGAGCAGAGGATTTCAACATATGAATTTTGTGGGGACACAAACTTTTCTTGCCACTATTTCTTCATTTATAAAATGCAGATAATTATGACTCATTCTTCATTGATGATGAAGACTAAATGCAATAACGTATACAAAATAATTAGTATAGTATTAGCTGTACATTAATGCCAAAAACCACAATTACTTTTGCACCAACCTAATAGCAGCTGTCACTGTTGTTACTGTTACCGCTCCTCTTCACAGGTACAGGGTGAACTCCGAGACCATCTCTCCTATTCATTTACATCCTCAGAACTTAGCACGATGTCTGACCATAGTGGATTTTCAATAAGTAACTATGGGGTAAATTAATGCTCTCCATTTCTTCTTGTGTGGTGGGTTTTCCTAAAGGCCATGTATCTGTAGTTTGTCATTCTTTGAGTGCTGGTTCATGTTCTTCTATGGAGACAGAATTTCAGTACAGCACCTTAGTGAAGAGTACAATTCTAGAGCAGGACTGAGGGTCTCAGCATAGTGTTTTCCAGCTATCTAACCCAGAGGAAGTTATTTTTCTTCTTGACACCTCAGTTTCCCTGACTGTAAATGGGGATGATTCGGGCATGCCTTACAGAGCTCTTATGAGGGCAGCACAGTGTCTGCACAGAGGAAGCACTCCACAAATGACAGGTATTATTTTTAAGATTAGTTTTGAAGGCTTTCTTTTAATAGCAGAAAATGAGCACAGGATTGTGTTTAACATGCTGTGCCCTTCCTTCTTTCCCTTGAATGGACTTTAAAGTCATCGTATTTATGAACTCCCTGGGCTGAATGTCCCCTTGAAAGAAGGTAGCTGAGAGCAGGTGAAAGCTCCTGGGCCAAGTTTATTTGAGGTCATGAAATAGCACTGGACATGGTCACTACCTTTTTCCTCTTGGGCTCTCTCAGCCTTTGCCTTTCTGTTGGATGTCAGGTGGAGGCATGGGGGCACCAATGCAGGAATCACCACACCTACTCAGAAAGAAGGCATTTACCAAATTGCAAAGGAACACATCCTGCCTGCAGACAATAAATGGTGTGTGATGCTTCCATGAAGTGAGATGGATGGAGCTCTCCGTTGCTAACTGGCCCATAACCACGGTCATTAATCACACACGGCACGCCCATTGCCAGTAATGGACTTCACCCCGGAAAA
This sequence comes from Homo sapiens, assembly GCF_000001405.40. Lineage (NCBI taxonomy): Eukaryota > Metazoa > Chordata > Mammalia > Primates > Hominidae > Homo > Homo sapiens. Next base: position 57,867,230 of record NC_000001.11, read on the forward strand.
CTCCAACTCGTGGTGCCAATGGGTTAAAGGGAAGGCCTCGCCTCTTAGGGAAATATGGGTCTCCCTTTGGGATTAACCCTGGCGTTTGCCACCCCTCATTCACTGAAAAGCCCTTTTAATTGATTTTTCTTCCTATTCCCTCCAATCTGTCAAGAACTCACTTGCCAGCCTCTGCCTGGACCCAGAGACATTGCCTGAACTGTATGAATTGCTAAGAAGCTGCTAGTCTGCAAGGAATTTCCCTTTTCTTCTTCCCTTAATAGACAAAAAAGTAACTAAACTGCAACAGCAGAGCCTCATTTTTTTGCCACAACCCACATCTCTGAAGCTAGATCTGGGTAGGAAAACAACCTGACATCATCATCTACAATTTTCTGAGTGCTTGCTTTGTGCTAGGTGTGGCCACGTTGCCTCTCCACAATTAATCTGAATAATTCCAGGGCTCTCCATTTTTCTAGATAAAGACACGGAGGTTCAGAGAGGTTAAGTGAATGGCTTGCCCAAGTTTGCACAGCTAAGGACAGAAGTGATAGTCAAACAAGCACACCAGATTGCAAATCCAGTGCCCTTTCTGTGATGCTGCAGAGTGCCCTGGTCATTATCTTTTCTTTCTTGGACTGGTATCTGAAGTCTCCTCACAGCCACAAATGAATCCCTGTTTTCCTCTTAACCAGCACTAGAAAAGCAGAATGGCACGGGGTGTGCTTGAGATAACCATGAAAAGTGGACTTGCATTTTCAAATGCAGTAAAGTTCCACCACAGTGATACTCGCTAGCTAGGTCCAGTAAATACTGCTTAACTTAGTAGAAAAGCTCCAGCCCAGCTCTGGTACACTGAAATACTCAGGATCAGAGGGCTAGGCATGGTTCAGTCTATTTACTTTTCATGGGAGAAAGAAGTGATTAGGTAATTTGTAATAAATTCCTCAGCTATGCAGAATTTCTGCAGAGGCACTATTAATTTGATTAATAAGGAAGAAGCCATCTGACATTTCCTTTTGGTGTGCCATTTATTCTCATAAGCTCTGCGTGGTTTTGAACCAGGGGTGGTAGGAGAGCATTTTCAGGGTGTTCTAGGCCTGTAACAAAATTGCTTAAGCAACTAGACTGATTTCTTTCGTGCTGGGAGGTCATTTGCAATGGAAAGATTTTCCTGTTGTCACTTCTGCTGTTTTGGTTGCCAGAGGCCATCTGATCTGAAAAAGGCATGGGCAAATTATTCAGCCTGGCCTACAAAATTCCCCATGAGCTGGCCTGGTCTTGTCATTACGTTGGAGTTACTGACCTCTTAGGGCAGACAATTATGTGGTGTGGAGAGCTGTCTTGTGTATTTTAGGATATTTTACAGCCCAAACAAATCTATCTCTAGACATTTCCAAAGGTCAGCTGGGGGGCAAAATTGCCCCCAGTTGAGAACCACTGCAGTAGACTATTGAGTTCCTTGAGGATGTGGACTCTGTATTGTTCTCAGTGTTATTCCCAGAGGCTATCACGGTGCCTGACACATAGTAGGCACTTTATGCCCTTTGAATGAATGTAGCATAGAGCCCAGGGTCATGTTCTGCTAGGCTTCCTCTATACAACACACTCTTCCTTATTGGTACCCAGTGCTTTCCTTTCTTACCTCTGTGTCTTGACTCTTCCACCTAAACTGTTTTTCTTCTTCCATCTTCATGTATTCAGAAGGCATCTTGATGCCTTCAAGATTTTTTTCCTTCAAGGTTCTGTTCAAACACCATCTTAACCAAAGCTATCCCTGATCACCCAGATGGAATAAATCTCAGTATCTCCTGGCCTCCCTAAGACTTGTTATCTCTATTTCTTTTATGATATCCAACTCTTTATGGGCAAGGTAATATAATCTAGTAGATAAGAGATCAGACTCTGAATTGGAATTACAGTTCCATCCTTTACTGCCAGTAAAACTAAGGAAAAGTGACTTATCCTTCGTCTCTGAGAGTATTTCCTCATGGGTAAAATGCAGGTAACAACAATTACCTGCAGGGATTAAATGAGATAATGTATTTAATGGCCATGGCTAAGTTCCTGGCATTTAGGAATGAGTAGCTGTTATTATTATTCTCACTTTGGAATGGAAGTTTCCTACAGACAAAACCAAGTTAATGTTCATCCTTGTATCTCCAGTTTCAAGGTCAATGCCTGATAAATAGTAGGTACTCAATAACTCTATTCATGCACAAACAAAGTTGACACTTCAAGCTGGAAAATTCTCCAGGACAGTAGAGTCATGGGCTCTTTCTGTGAAAGAGGAGAAGAAGCCTACTCTGAGCTCCTCATTTTACATAAGGAAAAAATGAAGGCCAGAGGATAAAAATGGCTTGTCCACAGCCGCACAAGGTAATAGAAGTCAAAGTCACGTGCCAGCTAGGCCTGCTACCCTCCTAACTACCACAGACCACACTCCTTAGAAGTCCAATGGAGTCTCCCTCTCTCCTGTTTGCAAAGTGGTGACGAGAGAAACTTGCTTCAGCATGTGGGAAAGCTAATTAGAGCTAATTTATTACTTCTCTCAGAACTAGGATGCTGGGTAGAATCTGTTGGAGGTCTGTGCTGCAAAGAGAAATGCTCTTGATTATATTTACACATCTGATTTGAGAAGTACATGGAAACCTAATCATAACTATCATAACATGTTCACTGACTCTCAGTATACTTATCCTGGCTGCATGAGAAGTTTTCCAAGGTGCAGCTTGGGCTGCATCTTTTTCAATTAAGTTCTTCCCGGACTATGTCAAACTCTCTCTGAAGCTGTCTGGAGGAATGGACAATGTGCTGGAGTTAGGCAAATTGGATGAGTTTTGGAAAAATACTTACCCTCTCTGAGCCTCTGTTTCCTCCTCTGTATAATGGGGGCAATCATACCTACCTTGCAGGTTTGATATGAGGATGAAATATACTATATCTAAGTGGCATATGCAAGGCCAGGTGCATACAGGAGGCATACATTAAATATTAGGCCCCTCAATAAATGTTAGCCTAGACCTATGTGTATGTCTAGGTATTTGCTGTGGAAAACTCTGGTCCTGTCCGTGAGTGCCAACACATCTTCAGCCTCATTCTAGGCTCTGCACTTGGGGCTGCATAGAGTTATGGGGCCAGCCTAATAGGGAGGTGGCTGGAATACAACTAAGAAGCCGTTTTATTGGAGAATGATGGAGGAAGCATTTAATGTGATGGGTGGAAAGACAATGGACTTAGGCATTACATAGACTTGTACTGGAATCTCAGCTCTAGCACTTTCCACTACAGGATCTTGGGAAATTCACTTAACCTCTCTGAGCTTAGTTTTCTCATCTGCAATATGGGCAGGAGTAATCAACTCACATAGCTGTTATGAAAAATGAATTTATATTATGCATATAAGAATGCACAGTATATAGTAAGAGCAAAATAACTGAGCATGATGAGGCAGAGGCTGGTCCCAGATTCTGCTAGGCATACAGCACATACTCAGTAAATGTGCTAAATGAGTAAATGATTTGGACAAAATTTACTATAATCTGGAATGAATGGGGAACAGAAAAGGACACTGGACTAGGAGACAGAACCATATCGGTTTGTATCCCAATTTGACAATTTGACAAACTCACATCTTGCCAAGTCTCAATTTTCTCATCTGTAAAAGAGGGTGATCCTGATAAAGACAAAAGAGTTGACATTGGCAAGGAGAATTTATCAATTGCAAAGCAGACTCTCATGATATTTGAAAAGCGTTTAGTATAGCACCCCAAAACAGTAAACCATTCAATAAATGGCTGACAATAGCTTTAACAGATAATCATAAAGCACCTAAAAGTGCCAGCCATGGGCTTTCCTTGTGAACGAGATATACCAGGATCCCTGCCTCTTTGGAGGAGCAGCAGCAATATCACCCTCCTCCTCCTCATCACCAATGAAGGGATTGGAAAGATAGGGGTGTGTATTCTCCATCTAACATCTGATGACAGAAATGTCTTCTGATGTTGTGGGAATTATGTCTAACATCTGATGACAGAAATAGATATAACTATCTAAGAGGTATAACTATCTAAGAGGTAATAATAGTTTCATGGGTATCTGGTGCTGTTTTAAATCCTTCAAGTGAATTGATTTATTTAATTATCACATCAATCATATGAGATAAATGTTATTACTACATTGTACCCATTTTACAAATGGGAAAATTGAAGCCCAGAGAAATTATCTTTCCGAAGATCACACAGCTAGTAAGCTTAGAGCTGGGTTATTTAAACCAGGTCATCTGATTGTAGAACCTGCGCATCAATCACTATGCTAAACTTCAGCAAGGTTAAGTGTCTTGCTCAAGGTCACATAGAAACCATGGCAAAGCTGGGATCCTAACAGGTTTTATGGACTCCACCTCTAACCCTTCTGGTTTATAAGCATCTAAAAGACAGTTTTGCTCTAGGTTTGTCAACAGCTTCACCTAAACACAAAGACAGCTTCTTCAAAAAGTAAAAATATGCAGCTTGCAACTGGTGGTCTTTTTATCAGAATTTTATAGAATCCTTCTGTGGTTTCCTTTTCCATATTTAGGAACTGAATTACATAACTGAGTGTATACATGTATGGGTATGTGTGTATAAAACTATATGCACTACAGGAGTGACAGCTCTCCTAGATCACTTCCTTTCTCTGTGCTCAAGATGTAAGTTTATTTGTTCATTCAACAGACACCAAAGTGTAGGGTATCCAGTCAGACTCTGCTATTTAGGGGACTGTGACTTGGAGCAGGTATTGTATAGTCTCTAAGCCTTAGCTTCCTCATCTGTAAAATGGAGTTAACAATTGTATATATCATAATCTACACTGTAGGATTCTTATGATAAAATGAAATGAAATGCTTATCAGAATGCCAGATGTAGATGGCAATCAAATACTTTAAAAGTTATTATTATTAATAGTTAAATACTATAATAGAAGTCTAGCACTCTTATGATCTGAATGTATATGTTTTCCTAAAACTCATGTGTTAAAACCTAATTTCCAATGTGATGGTATTAAGAGGCAGGGACTTTGGGACATAATTAGCTCATGGAAGTGGAGCCCTTATGAACAGAATTAGTGCCCTTATAAAAAGAGGCCACAAAGAGACTCCTCATCCCTTCTCCCACGTGAGGACACAGTGAGAGGTATATCTATGAACCAGGAAGTAGATACTCATCAGACACCAAATCTGCTGAAGCCTTGATCTTGGAATTCCCAGCCTTTAGAACTGTGAGAAATAAATTTCTGTTGTTTATAAGCTATTAAGTTTTGCTATTTTGTTATAGCAACTCAAATGGACTAAGATAACTACCCACTGGTCACTGTGCTTGGTTCTTTGAATGCAGCAAGAAATAGGGCCCATTCCTCATCTTCAAGGGGTCCGCAGTCCCCATTGGGAGAACAACATGTAACGGACAGCTGGCCTTGGGTTTGGAGGTGCTGCTGTACCAGAGGGGTATGGTCAGTGTTGTGGAGCCCAGAGGAAGGATTGATTAATTCCTCACTGACGGGAGTGTGAATAAGAAGATGATTTTGGATGTTCCATAGAGAAGGGATGTTTAAACCTGGACTTCATGTTTGGAAAGGGTTTGGAAAAGAAGAAATGTGAAATGGGAAGTATGAAAAGGGAACTTGAAGTACAGAAAAAGGCTGAGCCAAAGCAGGGTGGTGTGATTGGGCCTGGATAGTTTCCAATGAGTAAACACTTTCTGGGAGACTAGGTCTGGACTGGATGGTTAGAGAACAAGAGGCAAGAACTGAGCCCCCTGTTCTGATTTTTGTGTGATAGGACTCTACAGTGTTCAGCCTCCAGATGGAGACTGTAGAGGAATCTGAGATAAGATTCCTAAGTAAAGGAATCTAAGGCCAGATCATAAAGGGTCTTAGGTGTCAAGCTAAGGAGGTGAACTTTATCATATAAACAGGCAGGAGGAATTGACTGAAAAATCTCTTAATATCTATTGATCAATAAATTGAAAGACAAACAAAGATATATAAATATTACTGAGATATCAATATTTATATGCATAAAGCTAACTCTATATTCTGTTGTCTTGTTCTTTTTTAAAAAATGAGTAGGGTGAGAGCAGGGTCTGCTTGCTCCTTATTCATCATCATAGCCACAGCACTTAGCAAGGTAACATTGAAAGAACTTGAAAAAACCTTGTACTGGAGTAGATGAATGAATAAGCTATAATCACTATCTTTTGATGTTTGCTGAATGAACCAATGAATTTACATCTTGAATGTAGAGGAAGCCAAGTAGTTTCACAAAGCAGGTGGCATTTAATCTTGAAATTGTAGATGGGTACAATTTAGCCTTGCAGAAGTAAGTGATTACTGGTGGCGGGACCACATGTACAGAAAACAATCTCGCTGCCCAATGTATAGCAAAGGGTTGAAGAGCATAAATTCTGGAGCCAGAGTTCAAGTTCTAGCTCTGCCATTTAATAGCTGGGGCTCTACAGCATGTTTCTTAGCCCTCTGTGCCTCAGTTTCCTCATGGGGACAATAAGAGTATTCGTCTTATAGGATTATTGTATAGATGTAAAGTTCTTATCACAATAATACTATTTATGCACAGTTATTGTATATAAATACTGTATATAATAGTATTTGCTATTATTAATACTATTATTGCTGGACTCTGAATGCCATTGGCAGACTGAACACTCTAGAGTCCTATCACACATAAATCAGTTCTTTCTTCATATATTATGTCTGAACAGTCTACATGAGTCTCTTTGACACAAGTCTCTGGTACAGATGAAGACCAGAGAGCTTGGGAGTCACTGCTGAAGAGAAGAGTGAATGAGTAAACAAAGGTAGATGAGGCAAAGAACATACCGAATGTCAGGATTCAGATGGGACTGCTGTATGATATTAATGAACACAGATATCTGGAGAAACCATGTCAAAGCTTTCCAAGAGAGACTGTGAACAGTACCTGGGGAACACCAAAAAGAGAGATGATAAAGAAGGGATGACAAGTCCCTGCAGGCCTGGACCAAGTGCAACACAGAACAAGCAACAAGACCAAAAGAAAGCAGTGTGTCTTGTTAAGTTTCTTTGCAAGGCTTTAAATCAGCTGTGGCTTCCTGGCAGGGTGAGGCAGGGCTCCAACCATTACAGGTTACCCAGAAGCCACCAGAGAAAAATGGAGAAGGAAAACCTTGAAGAATGAGCATCATCCCTGATGTGATGTGGTTGCCATAGAGACCACTCTAGACGGTAGCCAGGAAGGGCAGTGCCTGTCCTCAGAGCAGTTAACAAGCTATTAGACCAAACATGAAGGTGCCAGCAGGTGAGTAGAATGAAGCTGCTACATCACAGCTGTCTGTTTGCTAAGATCAAACAGAGGAAGAAACAGCCATAAATCAGCCAGGCCACTGCAGCCATTGAGTCAAGTTCAGGGGAGCATGACAAGATTTCTAACCTGTGAGTCAAAGCCCTGGGACCACGTCCCAGAGGTAGATGCTCAGAAGAGTGATGGTCACATTTTCCCAGACTGGCTTGAGGGTTCAAACAAGGTTAAAACAGAACAAAACTGCACCACTAGCAAACATACAGACAGTAACTAAGAATGTGGGAAATGCAAGCTGAAGAGAGTGCAGGAAGGCAATAAATACAAGATTTCACAACGTGGTCCCAACATTCAGACAAAACTGAAGACACAGCAGGGATTTGTAGCAAGCAGGATACATGCTTCTAGAAACATTCACTGCTTAGTTTAAGATGGTGAACCCGGCTTTGAAACTTTCTCAGAGCAAGTGCTTTGGTTCTTCTGGACTGCCTCTTCAGGAAAGTGTCCAGAGAGGGCAAGCTCAACTACCTACTGAATCTCCAAACTAAGCACTGAAGATAATCCCTCCAGATGAACCATTTATTGTGTGGTTATGCCTGCTCTCTGAAGAGGTGTAAGGCCCCCTGGGTCCGCTCTGCCATCTACAAGTATGTCTATTTGCACAGATAGATGGTGACTTAATGCCCAAGTTCCTTATGTCTGGTTCTTGACTACCTGGAGCCCTACCTCCTGTCTCCCCTCTCACCTGAGCTATATTTAAAACATCACACCTTGCTGCCTTTGAACATGCTCTTTTTCAGCTTATAGCTCTTTTCAGCTCTTTTTCAGCTTAATCAATTTCTACCTTGCTCTACGACTCAGCTCAAGGGCCATCTCATTCATTCATTCATCCACTCATTCATTCTTTCAACAAGAACTAAATGCTTCCCAAGTACCTGATACCTTCTGGGAGTCCTTCCTCTGTGCTTCCGTTATACCTGCACTTCCTGCTAATGAAACATACTGCTCTGGGACAGGATTGTTTATTAATGTGTGTCTAGCTCATTAGACTTTAGATTCCTTGAGGGCAGATTGTGTCTTGCTGACAGACTAGCATAGTTTTTAGAATTAAGCACATAGCAGGTACTCAATAAATAATTATTAAAGGATGAATAAAAGAATAAATGAATGAACTGCATTTCAAATTCTATCCAGGTTGCCGTATTCTGAAGGGAATTCTCCAAGCCATCACGTTGGCCTGGGATGAAATGTTCTCATGTGCATTACTTAATAAAAAGAGATCTGGGTCAAATGAAAAATTTAAAGTCAATATGAAATTGATCCTCATCAGCACTTTCTCCTCCAAACATATAGACAAAAGGACATTTCTGAAACATATATATTAGTGTTGCATTTTCTGCTCCACAGACTCAGCGATCGTTGTCACTGCTAAGTCCAGCTCTCATTAATTTATGGGGCATCCAGCATAATCAGCAACAGGCTTCTTGGCAGCATAAATCAGTGACCAGCCTCGAATTTGGGAAAGTCTCTAAGCTGGAAACAGAAGAATTTTCTTTCTTGCTCTTTTTTGTTAGAAGTCACTGAGCACTATTTAAACTAAGCTCAAGACCTTTAGGCTGAATGTTCAAGGACCCACCAATTCATCAGCCAACCTGTCCTCTTCAACTGTGCAGGGAAAGAGAATATAGGCAACCATAACACATCTGGATAGTACCTTCTTAGGAACTCCTGTTGCATCTTTACTCAGTTTAGTAGCCATATAAATAACGATGTCCCCAGAAGGATAAAAAAAGGAGGCAGCTGAGGAGAAAAACAAAACTCCCACTGGAAGAAACACGATGATATGAAAAAGCCAGATGTATCAGGTGTGACAATCTTGTGCACAGTACCTGGCACACATATGTGTTCATCACGTAAGGTGATTGTTGTGATGATCTGTTGAGGCTGGCTTCAGACAGAACTGGGAAAATGATTCAGGACTTCATGTTGAAGCAGCAGGGTGTGAAGTCACAGCGTCTCGGGCTGCATTTCCTTTTTTTCTGATTCTGTAGCGTTGCGCAGTGTCACAGCCCGAGTGCCCTCTCACCCAGACACATCTGACGGTACCCTATAATCCCTTTGCCTTCTATTATTTTGCTTGGATATTTGTCTTAGAACATTTAGTTTAGGATTTTTCACGTTTCTCCTAGTTGACATGCAGGCTGGACATACAGTGGGCCTCGATTGCTTAGAAGCCAAACTGAACTCACCAAGAAAAGAAGACAGGAGAAACTTCTCAAGAGGAATATCTCCAAATTGCAGGTGAAGGTCACAGGGAGGAGATGCCTCTGGGCTAAAACTTCAGGTGGTCCTAGTAATGGTACTATGGGGATAGGGATAGGGATTGGAAATGAAGCATGGAGAGGATTATGAAAAGTTGCAGTGAGGAAGGGGCTTTATCCCAAAGTGCACCCCTCCAAACTTGGTGGGAAGGGTCTAGGTGTGTGTGTATATATGTGTGTGTGAATATGTATGTATAGATATATGTATACATGTGTTAAATACTTGAAAATATGATTACATTTAGTGTCACAGTGATACTATAAGGAAGGTATTATTTCTTTTACAAATGAGGTTCAGAGTGGTTAAGACACATGCCCAAAGCCACAGAGCTGGTTATTAGAAGAGCCAGGACTTGAACCCACTGCCCCAGTTTTGAATTTTTTAATCAGTTCAGTTGCCTAGTTTTGAAAGCCAACTAAAGTTAAGATTTGTACCCTCTGTCCCAGCTAAGGAAATTGTTGTGGGCGCCCTGAGTTTGCGTAAGTCTTGACCATTATGATACACTCTGTTCCCCACCCTGCAGCTCCCTCTCTGGATATGACACAATTCTAGGACATTCCCACACACACCCTTTGGCTGTTCCCACCTGAAGCACTTGGGATAATTCTCTCCATCCTGAGTCAGTCCTAGTCCAAAGTCATTCTTCATTCTGCTTCATCTTTTAAAAATCCTAATTGATTTATTTTTTTTTTTTTTTTTTTTTTTTTTGAGACGGAGTCTCGCTCTGTCGCCCAGGCCGGACTGCGGACTGCAGTGGCGCAATCTCGGCTCACTGCAAGCTCCGCTTCCCGGGTTCACGCCATTCTCCTGCCTCAGCCTCCCGAGTAGCTGGGACTACAGGCGCCCACCACCGCGCCCGGCTAATTTTTTTTTTGTATTTTTAGTAGAGACGGGGTTTCACCTTGTTAGTCAGGATGGTCTCGATCTCCTGACCTCATGATCCACCCGCCTCGGCCTCCCAAAGTGCTGGGATTACAGGCGTGAGCCACCGCGCCCGGCCGATTTATTTTTTATAATTACAAAAGTTACACATACTCATCACTGTATCAGATTTAGAAGAACAAAATATAAAGAGAAAAATAAAAACCCTTATTATCCTGCTATGTAGAGAGGTTCACTCTTAATATCTTAACGCACTGTCTTTAGTCTTTTCGGGTGTCTATAATTACACACCTAAACATATGTTTGGAACAAAATTGGAATCCTGTTGTATATAAAGCTCTGAAGCCTATCTTTATGTCCATATGTCAATAACAACATGAAAAATTCTTTAGAAATATGTTTTATTTAATGACTGCATTATTTAAGTGTGAAGAACTTCAGTAAAATCTTTTTCTTATTTTTGGAAATTTTGATTGTTTGCCTTTTGTCAACATTGCAAGTAACGTGGAAACAAATTTTTATTCACAAATTTTTGTTATTTCTATTTTTAGGATCGAATACCATAAGAGGAATTCTGGACTGAAGAGTTATGAAGTCATTTCAGACACTTCCAGACAATTTGTGTTAATTAAATTCTCACTGGTTGAGTTCCATTCTACACTGGAAGAGCATTTTTCCTGGAAAGGCTCCTCAAAATGGTAATAAAGGGTAATTCTTTTAGATGATCTTGCATTTGTTTGAATGGGAACTGAGCTTAATCAAACATGTTAGGAAGACTATGTCTGTTTCACTTTTTAAAATTATTTTGGATGGACACAATAATTATATATATTTATGGGGTACAGAGTGATATTTTGACACATGTATACAATGTGTAATGGTCAACTTAGGGTATTTAGCATATTTCTCACCTCAAACATTTATTATTAATTTGTGTTGGGAATGTTTAAAATCCTTTCTATTTGAAATTATGCAATAAAATATTATCTATAGTCACCCAACAGTGCTGTAGAACACTAGAACTTTTTTCTCCTATCTAGCTGTAATTTTGTATCCATTAACCAAATTCACTATTCCCTCCTCCCTCCATCCTTCCCAGCCGCTAGTAACCACAGTTCTACTCTCCACTTCTATGAAATAAGCTTTTTTAGCCCCCACATACGAGTAAGAACATGTGATGTTTGTCTTCCTGGGCCTGGATTATTTCATTTAATATAATGTCCTCCAGGCGTATCCATTTTCCTGTGAATGACAGGATTTTGTTCTTTTTTATGGTTGAATACTATTCCATTTTGTATCTATATCTCATTTTTTATCCATTCATCTGTTGATGAACACTTAGGTTGATTCTGTCTTGGCTATAGTGAATACTGCTACAATAAACATGGGAGTGCAGACATCTCTTCATCTATGTCATTTTTGTCCTGGGCACATAGCTAAGCTACATTTACATTCCCCTAACAATTAAATTGGGCCATATAACTGAATTCTGGCCAATGGAATATGGGTGGAAGGGCTGTCTGCCATTTCCAGAAATGGTCCCTAAACATCTCCCAAGTATGATCTTCCTCTCTCTTTCCCCATCTTCAAAGACCTTAGAGGCCACATGTTGAAGATGATGGTGACACAGATAAGATGGGGAAACCTAGCTTTCTGAACGGTTGTATTAAGTATCATAATGAACTTTTTAAAATCATGTTGTTGGTTAAGGCGACTAGCACTACTCATCCTAACAAATACAGTGAGTATGCGATTTACTCACTCAAGGGTCCCCAAACTAAGAAGCCTCAGATGGCACTTTGTGTATCTAGCCATTAATCTGTGGTTGGCCAGCATGCCCTTTCACAGAGGCCTGTGGGGATCTGTAGCTCCTAAAAATCAAGCCTAGTTTTCAGCACACAGTAGGGTTTATGTGGGTGTGGGCTTATGTGTATTTATGGAATGAATGAAACCTTACAAGAGCCCAGTGACTCCACCTGGCTGACACCTAAGCAGGATTCACTCTGCCATTTGAAGAGGATCCTCCATTGGCCTCTGTCCCCTGCTGCAGTTAAGAGCTTCATCCCCAGAACAAGCCCATTGCAACTATATAAGGCAGCTGTACACTGCTTCCCCATCACAAAAGCCCAAACGCAGGGAACAGCCCTTCTGAACAGAGGCTGTTGCACAGAGGAAAGTGGAGTTTCCCAACACAGTCATTTCTCTTCTCCTGCTGACGCTAATTACAGTTTGCTAAATGTAAACTGGTGAAACATTTCGCCCACCCAACAGTTCCAGAAATGGGCCCATTGTATTCATAGTAACCTAGGAAGAGAAAGTTGTTCCTCCTTCTAAGTCTTTTGTCTGTTTCCCCCTCCCCCCTACCCCCCCTAGTACCTTTGGCAAACACAGAGAGGTATGCTCATAGAAGAGGTGAGTTTGGAACTGCAAATCCTCCCAGCCTCAGGACCTCTCTTTTGGTTGCCTGCTCTGCTACAAAGCTGGAGATCTAAAGTGGAGGCGTGTAGAAGACACCGTCTGGCTGGTAGGGGGTCTAATTACATGTGTGTGCAGCCCTATGTGACAGTCTGGGAATGCAATTATACAACTAATTATATTGAAACAACAAACTTGAGCTTCCACGAAGGGCCCCCGCCCATAGAACCATCATGTTGTCATTTTCATACACTGTCATTCCTTTCTTCTGTTCTAGCTTCACTTGTTGACTCTTCTCACCCTATTAAAATCCTCCTCTTTTCAGGACACCATCAAGAGTCACCTCCTCAGTGAAGCCTTCCATGGTTTCATACCACCCATCCCTATCGGAATGAATGTATCCTTGTTCTCCGTTATCCCAGTATTTTGCCTGGGCTTCTGTCACACTACTTTCAATGTCTATACCTCAGTTATCGAATCGAAAAACAAGAGTCATCAGTCTCTAAGGTCCTTGCAAGCTTCAAAACTTTATATTTTTGTCAATTACAACTGAATAAAGCTGAACAACTTATTATTTATGGATACTTGCTCAAGCACCATATAACTCTTTCAGATATTTTAAAAGAATATGTTTGCAAAAGACTCCAAATCAATGTATTAAATTGAAATCCAGTATCAAAACACCCATTAAAGTGCTCTTTTGAAATTGTACATTTTATATCAATAAAATTTCAAAATATAAAAACCTCTATTTTACTTGTTGAATTCTTAGGAATAATAACTAAACAGTTTTAAAATATTAGTAGAAAGATGGTGTCTTTGAAATAAGAAGAATGGAGTTGGAGCATAAGTTGCTTCTAGTTGAATGACCTGGGCATGATTTATCATGTCTTTGCACCTCAGTTTCCCTATCTGTAAAATGGCAGTAATGCTGACTTTACTTCACTAAGCTGTTGAGTAGATTAAATTAGACTGTGCACATGAAAGCAGTTTATAAATAACAAAATACAGTGTTTGTATTAGTTAGAGTAATCAAAAGCCCCAAGTGAGTCTCTCCCTATCCTAGGGAACACTGCCACTACTGCTGGGTTAGACATCTCAGATTCTCAGAATCAGGCACAACAATATTCACTGTTTCTCTGTCTGTAGAATAATGATCTTTCAATAAAAATCTCCAGAGACTTTCTAACAGTCATAATAACTTTAGTAACTCTTCAGTGGGTACCTACCTTCTGCTAAACATTTCCTAGGCATTTGCCACATAAACAGAAGGAAAGAATTAGCCAGGCATAGGGTCAAGTCCCAGATTTGCAAATAAATATTTATGTGATCTTGAGAGAATTGCTTCACTTTTTGAATCTTTGCTTCCTTATCTATAAATCAGATATGACAGTACCTATTATAAAGGATTATTTTGAAAATTAAAATGTGAAAACCCACTTAAACTATGCAGACACAATACGTGACATAGCAGGCACTCAACAAATATCAGCCCCTTTCTCTTTGAGCACCAAGATTCTAGAATTCCACAGTATAAAGCATTCGTATAAATAGATGTGTGGGGGATGATGGGTGGCTTCTAGCAGGGTGATGTCAGGGAAAGATTTAACCAGAATCTCCATTGCAATATCACATTGGGCCCCTGCATGTGTCTTTCACCCACTGTGCTCATCACCACAATATTTTACAGTGAACATTTAATTTGTTCTATAAAAGGAAAGATTATTCTCAATGATGCATGTGATAAATATGCTGGCTTTAAACCTTTTAGAAATATTAAAGGTTTTACAGCTCAATGTTTGACAGGCTTGATTAATCCCTTCCCCACAGAAATATTCAGGAAGATAGCTGTGGTTGGGTTTTAAAGCTCCAAGAGCGTTCTTTGATAAAGGTAAAGAAAACCTAAAGAGCCTTTAAAAAGAGAGATTCTTGTGCCACACAGAATAGACAAAGAATAGGAAGACCCAGAATGCTGCACAGTATGATAGAGAGTTGGAAGTCAGTGTGGGGGTGGGGTGAGGGGAAACAGTGCTTTAAAACCTCTCTCCTTTAGAGGAGTTTTTAAATGAAAGGCACACATCCAGCCTGTCCACAGGACATGAGTCTAAGAGTTTTCTTCTCTGCTGGATTCCAAAATGGACGATGTGGGAGGGGGCACAGGGCAGACCAATGACAGTACGAACATCAGAGAAGAATGAAATGGAATGTACCATGGCCCCTTCTCAGAGTCCTAGACTATGGAACAGCCTCCTACGTGCTTGCTCAGTTACCAGAGCTATTTCTTGCACAGACCTCTTCAATTCCCCCACTGGATTTTGAGCTCCTCTAAGGAAAAGGAAATATGTTTTGGCTAATTTTTCCCCTCAGCATCTAGCCTAGCTTTTGTACATAATAGGTGCCTCATAGGTGTTAAGCAGATAGAGTTGGCCTTTAATAAACCCTCTACAAAATTGTCTAATAACATAAGTAGTGAAAACACTCCTACTTAAGAATGATGCTTACAAAATTACTAACAGATTCTACCTCCCTTCACCCCATGAAACAAAAGGAAACAGAGACAAAACCATAGAGACTTACTAATAAAACCTCACTCAGCAAACACCTATTGAGCACTATTACCAACCTAGGTGAGCTGGACATGGTTTCCAGCCTCCTTGCCTGGTGAAAGAAACCTGTCAGCACTGTGGTAGCTACTATAATGGAAGCATATTTAGAAAACCATGTAAGACAAAGAAAGGTACACCGAACCCAGTTTTTTTGTCCATGGGAGATGCTAGAAAAAGCTTTGAGAATGAATGCCAGACACTGAAGCCGAATGTTCAAGGACAATGCAAAGAGAGATTAAGGAAGGATGTACACTATATCATGCATACAGTTTTGATCTGTGAACTTCCATTGCAACTCCAAATAAAACGCTTGCTCTGTTAATCAACCTCCCTCACAGAATCTCAGAGTGTCAGCCCACTCTGCTCTGAGGTTTTCTTTGATATCCAGGTCAATCTCTAATACCAACCCCTCTTCTATTTTTATGGAAGCATTTCCCAACAAGAACCGCCAACACATTTGCCACAAGATATTATGGGGCAAAGGTGTAATTCAATTACGTGACTTAATCAATTCAAATGGCTAATGTACAAGAATCTCAGGATGTCATCCAGCTTTCAACTGAGGGTGAATAATTGTTCCATAATTTCTTAATTCTCCCACAAGACAGTTTAAATTAAAGGATGTCAATTTGCAAAGCCAGACTGCATTGTATTCTTAAATTGGGCCTGAAATAGCCACACGATGAAGGGTAATAAGGCAGAGAGCACAACCCAGAGTGCCTGGTGCTGTGCAAAATTGTTTAATACGGTCAGACCCTTTAATCTTCATATCTATTGATGCAGAAAGCAGCATATTTCTGTCACTTATGATAAGAAACATTACTTTTTAAATTCCTTGGTGAGGCCTGCAGATCTTAGGCAGCCAAGATAGCAGGACTCTCTATTTCTGTTTCTGTGAACATTTCTTTTTTCCCTTAAATTGGTTTTATTCTAATCCATTTAGTCTCCAATCTAAGTCAGAGACAAGTAACCCTGAATGGAACCACACAGGAGGGGGACAAAGGCATGCGCCTTTCAGTTCTTAGATTCCGCTGGCTACCGCCTCATTGAATAAGTCAGTGATTAAACAAATAATGAACCTTGGGTTATTAACTACAGAGAGGCAGTTCCAGAAAGGAAGAGTATTGGAGCCGCTTTTGAAAGAAACAAAATCATGCTCAAAAGTGGAGGAGAAGGTATTGGGAGGGGATGATTGGAACTGTTTTCATGAAGTAGCCAAGCATTTTACTCACCAGTGTCCTAGAAAACAGTTCAGTCAATGTGTCCAGGCTGGGTGGGGACGATCCTGGCAAAAGGGGGGTGCCCAGGGTCTGGACTGAAGAAGCTGGATGATGTCTTCCCAAGATTGCCGGGGCCACGAGTCAGGAATCGTCATGGAGAGAAGCCAAGGAAATAGCTGCAATGAAAAAACGATGTCAATTTTGAAGGCAAACCAAAAGAGAAAGAGGATAAAGTACAATGGTCATCACAATGGGGTTTGAAGTGAATGGTTCAGGGTGAAGTGTATGATTTGAAAGTGTGCATGGTACATGTAGGGTAGGTGGTCATGGGGCACAGAGAGCCACATGACGTGTGCTGAGCTAAACAAAAGGGAACTTGTGAGGGTCTCTGTGCCTAGCACTGTGCTAGGCTATGGGAAGGACATGAATAAAAGCAAACATGCTCATTCATCTTTATTTTAAAATGTTGGACTAGGTTAAACATACACAGGCTAAAATTCAAAAGGTACAAATTGTATATTTTTCACTTGGATGAATCTATCTGTAGGATAAATACCTTAAAGCAGAATTATTGGATAAAGAAAATGTATATTTTAAATTTTGATAGATATTGTCAAATAACCATTCACAAAGTTTGTACAATTTTACATGCTCTTCAGAAAATGTATAAAGGAATGCCTTTTCCATATCCTCATTGCTATAGTTCGGATGTTTGTCCTCCAAACCTCATGTTCAAATTTGATACCCAGTGTTGGAGGTGAGGCCTAATGGCAGGTGTTTGGGTCACGTGGGTGGATCCCTCATGAAGAGCATGGTGCCATCCTCACAGTAATGAGTGAGTTCTCGCTCTGTTAGTTCCTATGAGAGCTGGTTGTTAAAAGGACCATGGCACCTCCCTCCCCTCTACCTCTTGTTTCCTCTCTAGCTGTGTGATCTTTGCACATGCTGGCTCCCTCTCCCCTTCCACCATGAAGGGAAGCAGTCAGAGGCCCTCCTCAGTAGCAGATGTTGGCACCATGCCTTCTGTATAGCCTGCAGAACTGTGAGTCAAACAAATCTCTTATCTTTATAAATTACCCAGTCTCAGTTATTCCTTTATAGAAACACAAACAGATCAAGGACAGAGCTAATCACAGATCTTTATCTCAATAGATGTTAGATTATAAGCCATAATGATGCTAATATTAAATGAATTATCATAGCATTTTAAGCATAGCTTTTAGTTTTTATATATACTAATCCATTTATTCCTAACAGCAAACCACTGATGTAGGTACTATTATAATTGTCATTAAAAAGATAAAGAAACAGAAGTATAGAGAATGTAGAAAAGTTGCTTGTGACCACAGCTATGAAGGGCAGAGCCAGGATTCTAGCCCCGGCACCCTGCAGTCCCTCGAAGTCCATATTCTTAACTGTTAGCTCTCATTTCAGGCAGTGGCTTATTATTGATGGTATATGTTATAACAGATACACACAAATAGGAAACCTGAGGGGTGTATGTGTGTACAGGAAATCAAACAGAGAGACCAGTTCTTTCTATTTTAATGAAAGCAGACACAGGCTATTAACTGGGGAAATGTTGGGCTATAGTGATTGATAAGCAGAACTCTAAGAAGAAAACATTAACAAAATATGTTCTTACTTTTTTTCCACCCCTTTCACTAGAAAAAGTATTCTATAAATATTGATGATGTGTTAGAAAGTCAGAGCTGCAAAATTGAAAGTATGGTGTGGCCAAAAGCATATGGCACTTTAAGTAACACAGGCCTGAGTTCAAGTCCAAATTTAACTACTCTTGCTGGATTACCTGAGAAATATTACATTAATTATCTGAGCCTCATTTTCTTCAAAAGAAAAAAATGAGTCTATAATCCCAGGAAAAAGTTATGATGACTAAAACCAAAATATAAACAGTACCAGTCACTCAACAAATATAATTAATTACAAGCAATTTCTACCCTCCTGCTTAATCTTATTCTTTCTGCTTCTCTTTAAAGACCTCTGCTTTAATCAAATTAGTTTATTTACTTTTTTAAAAAACATAATGGAATTTTCCAGTCAGCTTTCATCTCTGCATTCTGCTTTCTCTTGCTGAAATAATCCATTAAGGAGTCCAGGTCTACATCAAATGCCACCAACTCCAAATTTCTAAGTAGTGTTATAGCCTACTATTCTTTTTTTTTTTTTTTTTTTTGAGACGAAGTCTCCCTCCATCAACCAGTGCAGAGGCATAATCTCGGCTCACTGCAACCTCCGCCTCCCGGCTTCAAGCAATTCTCCTGCCTCAGCCTCTGGAGTACCTGGGATTTTAGGTGCGTGCCAACACGCCTGGCTAATTTTTGTGTTTTTAGTAGAGACTGGGTTTCGCTATGTTGGCCAGGCTGGTCTCGAACTCCTGACCTTGTGATCCACCTGCCTCGGCCTCCCAAAGTGCTGGGTTACAGGCGTGAGCCACTGCACCCGGCATATTCTGCTACTGTTAACACATTTATCATCATACCACCAGCAGTTAACAAATTCTTTACCACGTACCAGGCACTGTTCTAAGCCCTTCGTATACTTCATATCTCATTTAACATTTCATATCTCATTTAACACTCTCTGTAAGTCATAGCTGCTGCTGTTATCCCCTCTTAGTGTCACGAATGGCAGTCACTATTTGCATGTCTTCTCTGCACAGCTGGACTAAGGGATCTAAAGAGCAAAGATGCCATATTACACTGAAATATTAGTGTAATATTTAAACTTGTAGACTTTGGACTCAAAGAACCTGAGTTCTAGTCTTGGTCCTGATCCTACCAGCTGTGTGATATTTGGCAAGTTACTGAATCTCTCCAGGCACGTATTTTAATTTGTAAAAAGGAGTGCTGATAATACCTACTTCAAAGTGTCATTGTGAGGCTTGAGTTTGCAGATGTCAGAATTTGAAACAGTGGTTGGCAAATGGTAAGTTTGGAAAATGTCAGCTTTTATTACTTAAACACATGCAGAAGGTTTTCAATAGGTGTTCATCACTACTTCATTTTCTTTTTTTTATCACTACCTTACATATCCGATTCCCTCTGCCTTTACTGCCTCCTCCCACCCTCACACATCATTCTACTGCCAAATTGAAGAACTCAAGGTCTGGGACTTCAAGATCAGCTCCAGTATATGCAAAGCCTTCTTTGGTAGTTTTC